>NC_000011.10:34150909-34302424 GCF_000001405.40 Homo sapiens
TCTCTTCCTGGTCCTAAGGGGCTCCTCCCCAGTTCTGAACTCTGAGTAACCCTCTACCAGGAGCAGTGAGGCCAAGGTCATTGTTAATGAGTGTTTATTGTTAATAAAACCATAGTACATTTACAGTAAGTGACAACATTATTGTACAGTTAAAGTATCATACAATATTACAGCAATAAAATAATGCCTATTTCTTTGTACATCCAGCCAAGCAGCTAGTCAAAATATTTTCCAGAATTGCAAGCCCCTGGGGGCTTTTCAGGGTGACCTGAGTGCCACCTTCTGAAATGCCTGGGGCTTTTGGTGAATAAATAGTTTTTAAGGTGCGGCCAGACAGCTGAAGAAGTTGCACCCAGACAGACTGTGCCTGATGCTGCCCCAGTGTCTGGTCCATAAATATGACAGGTGTCAGGGGAGCCCAGGGCCTGCAGAATTCGAGGGCAAGGCCGTGAGGGGACACAGCAGAAAGGCCTCTTCTCCTGGCCCTTACCTTCCATCAATGCCCTGTCCTTTAATCTCCAAGAGTCACAGTCCCCAGTGGGACCTGTTTGCCCAGCTCTCAATCCTACATTAAAGGAGCCGAGAGACTTGACCAGGGGACTCTGCTTCATCGCCCCCACAAAGGCAACCTAGTCTAGGCCTGAGGTTCCAGAATCCACCCATTTACTTTGGCCCCTAAAACCAGCAGCAAAACAAGAGCTGAGGCCATTCCTACACAGCACCCCATCCCCTACCCCTTGCCCCTCCATGCCAGACTTAGCTCAGAAACCATCAAGCTGGGGAACTGCCCTCTGCTGCTAACTGAGCAAGCTGGTAGTCCTGATGGGAGGGACTCTGGAAGCCCAGGCACCAAAGACAATGGGGGAACTCCGGGTGGCAGCAGTCGTGGTGGCAGGGGGGGGTCCACAGGCCACTGGATGCCCACATTAAGCCTGTCAAACCTTTGAAGAACAAGTTTGGGGATTTGGGCAGCCTTTGCTATGTGACATTTAGGAAGAAAAATACCAGCTTTTGAATTACTGCAGACGACTGGGGGCCTAGGCAGTATGCATTCTATACATTCATAAGGATTCCTGTACCCCCAGGAGCCCCAGTTGGGATGGTCTGAGTTTACTGAGGCCCTAGGGGTGAGTAGAGCTTGGAGGGCCTGGGCGGAGGTGGATCAGGATCAGCTGCTGACCTGCAGGAGGGGAGAGCGACACCCCGGGGGAGTGCATGGCTGCCCTTGAGTTGCAAACTGAGATGGGGAGGAGGGCCACCAGTTAGCTACATCTCCCCTTTGCCCATCAGTGATTGAACAAACAGCTCTAGGGCAGAGGAGATGAGGGTGAGCTGCCCGGTGACAGGGGGGACATCTGGGGGAGGAGGAGGAAACAGCCCCGTGAACCTGGCTCCAAGAGGGCCTACAACCATACCCCGACATGGTGGGCCCTGGCACCTCCACAGGCCCTGGCCTCGGCAGCCTCCGCCCCCTGCCTCACACCCGGGAGGTGATGTAGACAGAGTGCACGCGCTCTGCCAGGGTGTTCTGCAGGTCCTGCAGTGGATCCAGGCCCTGCACTTTGCTGCTGCGGCCGTAGATGAGCTGCCGGAAGGCATCCTGCTCCAGTAGGGCCTTCATGTGCTTGAGGAAGAAGCCCTCACAGAACAGGGCCAGTTCTGGGGCATTGTGGATCTGTAGGGCAGAGAGAGGAGGGGTGAAGCCCATCGCCTTAGTACAGCCCCACTCACCCTCACCCCCAAATACTACCTACCCATGGCCACAGCCCTGATTAAGCCCCACTCTGGCCAGGGTAGGCGTTCCCTGTCCCTGCATCCTGAGGCCACCTCTGCTATATCTGAACTGTTCAGCCCCCGTCATTTTCCTGCCTGTGTCATACTGTCATGCTGCCCTGTTAAGTGGCAGTCATCCCTGTTGGGTTGGAAGTTCCCTTCCTAAGGGTGGGAACGGGGACTGTCCACCACTGGGTGTCCAGGGCTCAGCACCAGGCCTGGCATGTGACTGTGCACATGGTAAATGCTGGATAAAGATGTTCACTCAACACATATCAAGGGGCCGCTCTGGGTTTTCAGTTCTGAGGTCAAGATCTCTGCAGTGCTGCTGATGTCCTAGTTTGGGAGAGACAGACAGAATCTGAGGAACCAAAGACAAGGTAACTGCAGAAGACTGTGAAGGAGGTAAAGCCAACGTGACAGGATGGCTTGTGAGAGGCCAGGGGAGGCCTGGGGACACCAGTTGTGAAGATGAAGGGCGGGAAAGAGCTTTACAGGAAAAGGGAAGTGTCACAAAAGTCCTGGGGTCTGGGCACGCTGAGAAGGAAGCATGGCAGAGTGAGGGGAGATGTGGGCAGGACCTTGGGGGCCTTGGAAGGCATGATAAGGGCTGGCTATTATTTAGCCTGCAGTAGGTGGAAAACCTTTGGTGGGATTAAGTATGGGAGTAACACAGTCTTTGTACTTTTTTGGGGGGCGGGGGTTGTGTTGAGACAAAGTCTTGCTCTTGCCCAAGCTGGAGTGCGCATGATCACAGCTCACTACAGTCTCAACCTCCCGGGCTCAACTGATCTTCCTGCCTCAGCCTCCTGAGCAACTGGGACCACAGATGCACGCCACCACACTCAGCTAGTTTGTAGAGGCAGGTTCTTGCCATGTTTCACAGGCTGGTCTAAACTCCTGGTCCTGCCTCATCCTCCCAAAGTACTGGGATTACAGGTGTGAGCCACTGTGCCTGGCCATGGTTTTTGAACTTTTGAAAGAAGCTTGTGGATTGCAGGGCTAAAGCCAGGAAGTAGGGAGGCTGGGCTGATGCCATTGTCCAAGAGAGTGATGGTGGTGGCTTAGGGCAAGGCGAGGGCAGTGGAGATGAAGGGAAGTGGAGAAACCGCTGGTGTGTTTCAGAGGTGGGTGGCTTGCATATGGGAGGGTTTTTGCAAATCAAATATGATTCCTGAGTTTTGAGTCTGAGCAACTGAGCAGTGACCATGTTGATTGTTGAGATGGGACAGCTAGGGAGGCACAGACAGGTAGGGGAGAAAAGTAAATACCTATGGCTTTGATTTGACTCAGAGGCTCAGCAACTTGTCCAGCTACCACAGCCCAGGTGGCAGAGCTGGAATGTGAACTAGGGTGCAGCTGGCTCAAAAGCTCACCTCCCAAGCTACCACATGGCCAGTGGGCAGCAGTGACCCCAGGCAACACAGGGAGTTGCTAACCCTCCCTCAGCCTCTACACTGCCCTCAGAAGCAGCCTGGTCACCTGCATCTCCTAGCTCATCCCCAGTGCAGCCACACGGCCGAGGCCCCCGTGGAGCAGAGCATGTGGTGGGAGGTGGCCAGCAGGCATCCTTGGCCCTCACCTTGGCATATTTGTAGGTGTTCACGGCACTCTCCATGCTGAGGGTCTGGGAGCACAGGATCTCGCAGTGCCTCTGCAGGGCATCCAGCTGGAACAGGCTGGCAGCTGACAGCAGCTGGTAGGGAGGCAGAGCAGGTCTTGGGGACCCATGGCCAGACCAGTGGCCCAGACAGCACCGAACAGAAAGCTCCCGAGTGCCGTGTGCCCTGCTGCCTCCACCCTCAGGCCCCACTACCTTCTGATACTCCTGGGCCTAACCATCCCCGCTGGGACACGCACTGAGGCTGGGCTCAGTGGTGTGCACAGTTCCTCTTTCTGGGAACTGCTCTTCCTGTCAGATGGAGAGGAAGAGCCACCTTCCCTCTGAAGGGGGTGAATGGGAGACCGAGCCGCTGGGCACCCTAGCCCAGGCCCCCTCCCCCTCTCCCGAGTCTCACCTCCAGGATGTCAGTGGTGGGGATCTCCATGGATTCTGTTCCTCCGTAGTACAGATACTGCATCATCATCTGTGGTGGGAAGAGGCCCATGTGAATGCCACGTGAACCTGAGGCATGAAAGTCCTTGCCAGCCCCACAGGGTACTGCTCCAGCTGCCGCCTCCAGGGGCCTGTCCCTCTGCAGGTCCCCAGCTCTGTCTCTCCCTCCCTCTCCTGCTCAGGCTGAGACTTGTGTTTTCCCGGGGAAGCCAACTCCAAGACCCTCTCTCCTGAGTCCCTGCCCGGATAACAGGCTCTCTCCTTGGAATGTTTTCCCTACAATCCTCATGAGAACACGGTGAGCCCAGGAGGGAAGTTCCTATTCACAGCTGGGGAAACTGAGACCCAGGGAAGGAAGATGACTTGGCTCAAGTCCTTCAGCTCCCCTGATGCCTGCAGCAGGGCTCTCGCATCATGCCTGGCCCCGTGTGGCTCATTGCTGGTGTGATCTAAATTCTACACAGGGAGTAGCAGTGGGAGGGTCTCTGAAGGGATGTTGGAGGACGCTGCCTCCTGCCTTCCCCTGTTTGCACAAGGACTCCAATGTGGAGGTGAGTGCCCCATCTGGGCTCTGTCTCAGGTGTGCTTCCTCAAAAAGAAAGCGCAGAGCCCAGGCCCGGAGGCCCGGAGGCCCGGAGCTCCCCTCGACAGGCTGAGCCCTGCCTTGGGCTCCCAGATGAGGTGGTCCAGGACCGGGAACGATTTAGTTCTGCTGAGGTTTCAGTTACAAACTCTGCCATCACGCTGGAGCCTAGTGAGGTTCCCAGTTGGAAAAAGAAAAACAATTCTTTCTGGCTGGCTGAAGAAACGGCTCCAGCAAGGAGCTGGCAAGTGTGTAAGTAAACACAGCTCCAGCCGGCACAGTCGGGCTCTGTCAAGACCGGCCCTGAGGCTGCAGAGGCACCAGAGGGTCTAGGAGAAGGCCCAACTGTGGGGAGAGAAGTGGGGAGACAGGCCTGCCAGCCTTGTTCAGGCATCAGGAGATGTTGGCCAAGGCCCACCCTGGAGATGTCAGCCTCTTCCCACCTCTAGAGGTCTGGGAAGCTCCCACGGCCTTCTGCAGCCCCTGCTGGAGCCTGGGTGGTGAGCTCATGATTGCACAGTAAGTGTCCGTCTGCTCCCTCCAGATAGTGTGTGCCTTGGGCAGGCCATGCCCAGGTCCCTCTGCCCTCCCCATGCAGGGCACTGAGTGAGTGCTCAGTAAGGTGAGGCACCAGCAGGAGCAGTGCCTGGAATGCCCCTCATACAGGGTTGGGGTTAGAGCACCAGGCAGGCAGGTCAGATCTTCCTGTTGGGATTCTTTGCTAAGGGATGGCCTCAGGGCAGCCCCTAGGGCCAGGCCTACCAGCCACCTTAGGCTGCAGCTCCCTTCCTGGCCTGGAAGGCTACCTCCTGCTGCATTTTAGGATTTGGTTTTGGCAAGGCCCAGTCTTGGCATCCGTGGCACATGGATCTCCCTGAGGCCACTTGAATGCATATGAGGCCACAGAAGTCAGATCAGAACGGCTCACCTGGAGCCTTGCTATGGGAGCTGGGCAGCCAGCAGGCAGAGGTGGGTGAATTTTGCACAGCCTGGCAGTCCCTAGCAGGATACAGGTCATGTGCCTCCTGGAGCCAGGCAGCCTGTGGGGCTAGAGGCTGCTTGAGGAAAGGCCCCAGACAGGACCACCTGTAGAAGGGCAGCAGGGTTTCCTTCTGTCCTGAGTGGGCCACTTGGAAGCTGATACTGCAGAAACCATGTGGGAAGGGCAGGGTTGGGGCCCTCTGGGCTATATGCTCAGTAACTTTTTTTTTTTTTTTTTGAGACAGAGTTTCGCTCTTGTCGCCCAGGCTGGAGTGCAGTGGCGCAATCTCGGCTCACCGCAACCTCCACCTCCTGGGTTCGAGCGATCCTCCTGCCTCAGCCTCCCAAGTAGCTGGGATTATGCAGCATGCACCACCACGCCCAGCTAATTTTGTATTTTTAGTAGAGATACGGTTTCTACATGTTGGTCAGGCTGGTCTCGAACTCCCAACCTCAGGTGATCTGCCCACCTCGGCCTCCAAAAGTGCTGGGATTACAGGCGTGAGCCACCGTGCCCGGCTGTGAGTAACTTTTTACATTGATTACATGTTGAAATAATATTTTGGCTATACTGTAAGTTCAAAAATATTAAAATCAATTTCACCTGCTCTTTATTTTTTATGTGACTAGTAGTAAATTTTTAATTACAATGTATGCCTCACACTGTATCCGACAGTACTGTCTAGATGTCCTTGGGCCTCTGTTTCCTCCTCCAGAAAACAAAATAATGATCCACACACCCCCACCCCACCCCGCCTGCATGAGAGTCAATGCGGTATTTAGGGGCTGCTGGAAAACTTGCAGGCTTTGTTAGGGAGCCCTGACCCCAGACTGATGGCTTCAGGCTGACCCCTCCAGGGAGGCCCGGAAAGTCGGAGCTGAGGTCTGGAAGCCCCATCTGAAATGATGCCCTGGATATGGCAAAATTCTGTACCCAGGAGACCCACGGGGCAAGGCCAGTGCCCTGGGCCTAGTTAGAACAGTCGGCCAGAACTTGGCAAGAGGCCCAGGGGAAGGCATGTGTGTGCTGTGGACCTGAAGCCTGTCCCCTATTTGCCCTCCCAGCAACCCCGGGAGGTGCCAAGGGGCTGCTGAGCCTGTTCTATGACAGATGCCCTCCCTTGGCCTGGCAGGTGAGCACAGGCGACTGAGCCCGCACAGGTCCCCTTACAGGCAGTGGTCACCCATGGCCACAAGTGCGCTCCCCAGTCTCCAGCGATCCCTGTAGCCCCTCTAGGACCTGCCTCCTGCCTGATCTGAGCATGACTCCACCTCCTGCTCCCACTCACCTGGACATGTTCCTAAAGCTGCCCATTCTCCAGTGAGTTGGATTAAGGGGTGAGAAAAGAGGGAAGGGGAGACGCCACCTGGCTTATGCCAGACCCTGGGCCTCCCCTCCTCCCACATCCGTCAGTTACCAAGTTCCAAGTCCCATCCACTCTTCCCTGGTCCATTTCCCTCCATCCCCCCAGCCACTGCCAATCCAGGTCACCACTGTCACTCAGTTGGATTCCTCAGCAGCCCCTAACTGGTCCCCTGGAGGTGGCCATGCCCCCTTCCATCCCTTCTTACCGCTGCAAATGCAAACTTGGCTGTTTTGCACATCCTGGGTTTGAATTCTGTCTCCATCACTTCCCAGCTATGTGACCTTGAGCAAGTTACTCAACCTCTCCATGCCTCTGACTCCTCTACCAAGAGGGGATAATAACATACCTACCTCCCTGGAACTGTGCTGTGAGGCCTCAATGGAAACCAAGCAAAGCACTTAGAACCCTGCCTGCCTAAGTGTTAGTAATGGTGAGTTCCTCCTACTGCTTAAAACCTTTTAGAGGCTGGGCGCAGTGGCTCACGCCTGTAATCCCAGCACTTTGGGAGGCCAAGGCGGGTGGATCACAAGGTTAGAAGATCGAGACCATCCTGGCTAACATGGTAAATCCCATCTCTATTAAAAATACAAAAAATTAGCTGGGTGTGGTGGCGGGCGCCTGTAGTCCCAGCTACTCGGGAGGGTGAGGCAGGAGAATGGCGTGAACCCGGGAGGTGGAGCTTGCAGTGAGCCGAGATCATGCCACTGCACTCCAGCCTGGGCGACAGTGAGACTCCGTGTCAAAAAAAACAAAAAAAAGCCATTTTAGAGGTGGCCCCATGTGCTTCTGTGAGACTCTGGGGTTTGCAATCTCTCCTATTATATCACAAACCACTCCTGTGCAGGGCAAGGCCCTAGACCCACCTGCCAGCTGCCTCCTGGCCTCAGTCCCAGCCCATAAGGGTCAGCTCTTGCAGCCCTGAGCCCACCACACAGCCTGGAGACCTGCAGTTGCTACTTTCTAGAAAGCTCCTCTCAGTGGGGTTCAGCTGAGATCCCAGCCAGGTCTTCCTCTGGACCTTGTCTGCCCTGACTGGAGTTTCTAGTATGTAACCTTGTATGTTCTGCAAAGCTTAAAGCCCGAAAGACCTGACTTTGATCTACAGTCAGGATGTGTGCCTCACGGCCACGTGTTTGACCAATGTGGCCGGGGTTTGATGCTTGGGAGAAGTGACGCAGCCTCCACCAGCACTTCCTAAACTGCACTGAGCACATGGCCACCTGGGGAGCTTGTGAAGATGCAGGAGGGCTGGGGTGGGGCCTGGGGCTCTGCATTTCCAACAAGCTCTCAGTAATGCCCATTGGCTGGGAGCCCACCCTGATAACAAGGACTCACACCCCAGCTGTGTGGCTTGTATCTGTCCTTGCACGTCTGTCTGCAGGCTGCCCAGACCACCTGTCCAGCGGTTAGAGCTCAGGACCCATGTGACAGGCTCTGAAGCTGCAGCCCCACAACGGATGGCTACCTCTGCACAGGGAAAGACCTGGATGCTCTATTCATTCAACAGAATACAGAAGGCACTGGGAATAGAGTGAACAATGACAACCAATGCACAGCTGCCCACAAGGTGGGCTCCTGGGGGAGGGTCATCCCTCTGAGAAGAGGGCGGCACCAAGACCCACACACCTGAAAAATGTGGTACTTCATGTCGCTGATCTCGATGGTCTTGCTGCTGTCCCCATCCTGTTCTGATTTATTGGTCATTAGTGTCTTGAACCTGGAGCAAAGGAGACAAAGCAAGGTGGGTTTTGAACCTTTTACTTCACCACTGTGTGGCGATGGCACCATCTGTCACCTGACCGGCTACCACAAGACGGAACATTTTAAAAATTACTGCTGTGCTCCTAAAATAATTTTCAGCAAGTGCCATTTTACACCATCTTAGGAAGACATCTGAGCTGAGCCCAATTCTGTCCCCACCACCCACCCTACAAGCGACCTGACGCCTGTGGCCAGAATGCTGACTCTTCATTCCAGGATATTTATGTTTTCTAATAATAAAAGCAATAACTAGGCCAGAAAGAACACCACCTCAGAGCCCCCCTTTCCTGCTGCCCTGGGTCCACCCCGTCTCATCCCGCTGTGGGGCGAGTGGGGCTCTGCTGCAATGTGACTGCAGTCTGAGGGGCAGAGGCTGCAGGGTACAGCCCCAGCGAGTCACTCTCTGTCACCTGGAATCTGAAACAAGGTGCTTCTGTGCCCCTGGGCTGGGAGTTTGTTATCTGAGGCTGCCTACCTGTTAGAAGCTGTCACCAGCAGGACTTTATGTGCATAAAACAGCTTTCCTTCCACCAGGAAGGTCACATCTGACATCTCCTTATTGTTCAAAAAGTGTGGATCTGTGAAAAGCGGGGAGACAGAGGGATATGGCTGAGGAGTCCCCTGCTGGGGTTTGCTTGAGTGTGCTGTGAGGTGCGTGTCTGGGGTTGGGGGTGGGACACAGAGGTGAGGAACAGAGAAACTGAGGCTGGGGCCTTGGCGCTTGGAAATGGAGAAAGATGACAAAGTGGGGAGGAAGCAGGAAAGGGAAGAGGGGGAGGACGTGTGGTGATGCAGGGCGCAGGGGGCGCGCCTTCACCTAGCCTGGCCGGCAGGGTCTTCCGGATCTCTGGGATGCTGGGGATGGGACTGCTGCCATAGCAGTGGGTGAAGATGGTAGCCAGTTGCTGGATGACGGAGTCGTTCTGTGGGGAGAGGAGAGAGGGCCTGTGAGCTGCCCGCTGTGGCTGGCTGTTCACAGATGCAGATACGTCAGGCTAATTTCAAAAGTCCAGGCCAGGAGTAGTGCAGCCGCTATCTTTTGTTCCTGCTGGATGTGGCTTGGCAAGAGATGCCTGTTCCTTCATCAGTGATTCCCGAAATGGCTTTTTTGGTCAGGTTCCAGCCCATGGCCCCTGCCCTCTACAGCCAGGCAGCGCAAGTCTAAGTCTGGGTGCTGTGTGTGTGTGTGTTGGGTGGGGGGGTTCCTGGGTGCTGGGGGCGAGCGTGCACGCGCGCGCGTGTGTGTGTGTATGTGTGTGTTGAGTGGGGGGGGGGGCCTGGGTGCTGGGGGCGGGCGTGTGTGTGTGTTGGGTGGGGGGGTCCCTGGGTGCTGAGGGCAGGCGTGTGAGTGTGTGTGCGTTGGGTGAGGGG
Organism: Homo sapiens; assembly: GCF_000001405.40. Taxonomy (NCBI): domain Eukaryota; kingdom Metazoa; phylum Chordata; class Mammalia; order Primates; family Hominidae; genus Homo; species Homo sapiens. The sequence continues at coordinate 34,160,802 of NC_000011.10, forward strand.
GTCCCTGTGTCTGTCCACGTGTCTGCCTGTGTGTCCATCTGTGTGTCCCGTGGTCTGAGTCTGGGCCGTGGGCTTGGGAACTGGCCACTGGCCACACTTACTTTGCTGGTCTTGAGGATGTCGAACATGAGCTGCAAGCCCTCGGTCACCAGCTCCTCGTTGTACTCCTCCTCTCTGATGGAGCTGAAGTCCCGCAGGAGGCTCTGCACCACCGAGTACCGCGACTGCGAGAACGAGGTCCTCAGAGACTCGATCCAGATGTGCAGCTTCCAGGGGACTCCTGGTCCAGGCAGGGAAGGGCAGGCAGTCACGCACCACAGCTGAGCGCTCCCGGCACAGACCACAGCCTTTTCTGGGCAGACTCTCTCGGGATGCCCCCGCTGTCTGCAGAGCACCCCGCCCGCCCCCTCCCGCCTGCCCCCTTCCTGGGCATGGAGTGGCCCTCTCAGGATGGCCATAGAATGAAAGCTTTAATTCATTCTAATAGGTCTTGCTGGCAGGTCAGAGTGGAGTTTCAGGTTCTCATGAGATGAGGTGGAGGAATGGCTTCGGCCCAAATGCAGGGAACTCAAGCTCTGAAAGTTGACCGCCCAGCCTGGGGATTTGGAAGTATGGGCCCAGCACCCAAAGTAGCCTTGTTGCTTAGTGGGCTCAAGAATTACTTGCTAGAGAGGTCTCATTAGTTGTGGAGGGGTGGCCAGGAGGGCTTGGATGGCCAGAGAATATGCCAGGCACTCAAGGACACACAGGCCTCCTTGTCTGCACGGAAGCTTGAAACGAACCCGGTCCTATCACGAGGGGCTCTCCAGCACACAGAGCACTGGAAAGCCGCTGCACATCCCCAGGCACATAATGACTGTTTTACAGTTCCCCAGCATGTGTCAGTGGGGCTGTAACTTAACATTGCTGTGGGAAGTTCATGACATAAACTAGTCCTGTCCCTGGTAATTAGAGAGACAGCTTCTTACCCCAACCTCACTGTGGATCAAAGAACTGACGGCATTCCCCAGCGACACATTGACAGTAGTGTGGTGTGTTAGTATCCTTGGGTTATTGACTGCAGGTGGGAGTGACGTCTCTGTTTTACGGTGAAGAACACTGAGGCTGACTCACTGCTGTCTTGGCCCGGCCCTGGGGGTTTGTGGCCTTGTGATGACAGTGACGGTGCTGTCATCCACCAAGTGCTCACGGTGGCCACTACGCCTTGTACTTCAGGTGATGTCACCTCATTCTTAGATAAGGATCATTAGCACCAAAGCCACAGAGGTGGGAGTTGAGGCTTGGAGAGAGGACGTGGTATGCAGCTAACACAGGACCTGACCTAAGTCTGTCTGACTAGCCTCCCTGGAGGACACCAAAAGTCCACAGACTCGCAGACCCAAGGAGTGCAAGGTCAGCCGAGTGACAGGACTGCCGCCTCACAGCGTGGAGTCCCGGGGCTTCAGAGGCTCCCAGTGCTCGACATCCCTGGGCTGTGACTGGGGAGGGGGCAGCGAAGCTCCAGCCAGGCAGGGTGGAGGGCCCGAGGGCAGGGGACTGGGCCATGACCCCAAGACGTGGCACTGTTGAGCACTGTCTGAGGCCCAGGGCCCCTCCTGAACTGGCCGTGTAGCAGGGGGGTCCCAGCCTCCACCCAGTCTGTGCTCAGCTGCCCTGGGGCTTGTCTGTCCCTGCAGGCCCTGGCCCTCTCAGGCCTGCTGAAGAGCAGCAGGGAGTGACCGTGTGTGTCCATATGCATGCATGGACATGGGTGTGCATGCCCGTGAGGCCTCACCCAGTGCCCTCAGCTCCATGGTGATGTCCACGTAGCCGTGCTCAGCGCTGTAGTACATGGCCTCCTGTAGGGCCTTGGTGCGGGTCCGGCTCAGCCGCACGGGCCCCTCGCTGCCACTGCCCTGGCTCGACGCATCACTTTCCTCCACACCCTCGGCCAGGATCTCCTCCAGGGACAGCACGTCCGCTTTAGCCTGCTGTGGCTGCGTCAGGAGCTTCCTCAGGACGTTCCTGCAGGCCCAGGGATGAATGAAGGTGAGGGCTGAAGTCCCACAGGCAGTGCCCACCTGAGCTGTCCCCCAGTGCCCTCCTGCCCCGACGGGCTGCTCTGGGGTACCCGAGGGCTCGGAGTTTCATGGTCTTCCTCCTCCAGGCAGGCCAGGGGTCCCAGGGTCACCAATCCCCATATACCTCTGAGAGGCAGGGCAGGGTGCAGGGGAACCCACCCTTCTACCATCCCCGTATTGCAGAGAAGCCATAGGCTTCGGGGCTGAGCGAGCTCTGCCATCCTGGCTGTGTGACCTTAGCCAGGTCACTCTACCTCTCTGAGCCCTGACTGCTTTGGGATATATTACAGGGTGTCACTATATCACACTTTCCTGGGGCTTATGTGAGGCTGATGTAAAGGGTTTAAATGCAGAGCCTGAAACACAGCAGGTCTTTCTAAATAGCAGCTGACTATGCACGTGAAAGTGTCTAAAACACAGGAAGAGCCCAGTAAGTACTCATTTGGTCCCTTCATGTTGATAAGGATGAACTGAAGACGGATGTCATGTAGAATGTATTCATATTTATGAATGAAGACACAGAATGTTAGACCCCACAGAGGACGCTCCCCCGTGCTGCTGCTTTTAGCCTCGTGAGAGCCCAGACACATCACCGTCATAGGCGATGGATCCATCTTGCTCAAGGCCACTCCAGGTGGGGGTACAGACCCAGGACTTCTGGCTCCAAGACCCAGGCTCATTCTGTCACCTCCTGTGGCCTGGGGCTCTGGGATGGATGCAGCATGGGTGGTGCTGCAAGGTTCCTGGGGGCTGACCTGCTCCACGGCTACCCCGCAGATCCTCCTCCTACCTGCCAAGCCCATGGCCTGGAGGTGCCCTTCCAAGGACCCAAGGTCCCTCCCAAGGGCTCCTCCTCACGTGTGGACTTGCTAGTTCAGGCAGTTTACAGAGCACCTTGTTTGGGCCAGGCGCTGGCATGTGAAGGTGAACTAGCCACGGTGACTGTCCCAAGGGTCCTGTGCTCAGAGTGACAGGCAGATGAGCAGGCAGGCAGTCTCCACGCAGGGTGAAGAGGCCTCCATGGGGGATGCAGGCACTGGGTGGGGTGGAGCGGCCTAGAGGTGGTGATGTGAAAGATGGCGCCTGGAGGGTGAGGGTGGCTGGGGTGGGTGAATGTGGGGGTGGGCTGGAGACAGCTGGAGAGAAAAGCATTCTAGGGGAGGGGACCCCAGCCAGAACATGAGGCTGGTGGCAAGAATGGTGTCGGGGAACTGGAAGTAAGTGTCCTGCCTGCCAGCCCTGCTTATCCAGCCCCGCTTTTCCAGCCCCGTTTCTGCCCTGTAATAAGCCCTTGTCTGGTCTCCCTTTGCCCCTCCGTGCTGTCCCTGACTTCAGCCTGCTGCTGTCCCGCCACACCCCTGGGCAGGCCTGGTCCCCACAAAGCAAGCTCTACCATCTGCACCTGGGGCAGGGTGCAATTTTGCACCAGAAGCCTCTGCACAGCTGAGCCGTATGCTATTTGGACGTCCAAGGCCACTTGGGCACTGGAGGACCACCAGCAGGCATGGGAAGCAATGTGGTCCTGAGTGGGCTCTGGCAGCTGCAGAGTGGCATCTCACTGGGAAATGGGACGGTCTGCCCTGGGCGTCGGGAGGCCCAGGCTCCAGTCCCAGGTCTGCCAGGAATCAGCTGTGGGGCCTCCCCCATCTCTGGGCCCTGTGCAGGCTAAACTCCCCCATGTTTCTGGTTTACTAGCACACAGGCCCCCTGTTTTGGGAAAGGTCTCCGGGCCTAGCTCTTTTGCTCCCATCGGGGAAACTGAGGCTCCTGTGAGCTTAGTTCAGTGCCCTCATGTCACACAGGGTGGGAATCCCGGGCAGGTACCTGTGGCCGTGGGCAGCTGAGTGGCTGAAGCAGTTCATGTCCTCGTGGAGGGAGGAGCCCATGCCGTGGGCCTCCAGCATGCTGAGGAGGGGGTCGGCGCCTCGGCTCAGCAACAAACTGACCAGCTCATAGTTCCCTGAAAGAGAAGGTGGGCAGCACGGAGGACACTGAGACAGTAGCCGCCAGGGCAGCTGAGGCGAAAGGGAAGGGAGAGCAGGATTCTCGCAGCTCTGAGTGCTGGAATAAGTCAGTAAACCCCACACTCATCTGCATTTGGTGGACGAAGTGAAGGGAGAGGAAGAAGGCTGGCCGTGCCCTGCCCCTGCTCCCCCTCCCTGGGTCTCCAGAGGGAAGGGCCTCCCTGCCCTGCTGGGTCCTGCCAGATGCTGAGCCCAACAGAAACTGATGGGTGGGGCCAGGGGAAGCCCCCAGTGGTCCAGAGAAGGGGTTTTAAGGCCCCTGCATGGGGTCCGTGTGTGCTAAAGAGACCCCTGCACGTCCAGCTACATGCCTGGCCAGGCTGGGGGGCACTGCAGGGAAGGGTAGACAGAGCCTCCGGGTAGCAGGTGCCTACCTGCCGCAGAGGCCAGCTGCAGGGGCGTCTCCGCATAGCTGTCCTCGCCGCCGTTCACTGCCGAGCCCTCGACATGGGCACCAGCATCCAGCAGCAACTGCCAGGGGCACAGAGGAGGAGGGCACTGCTCAGCGTGGCAGGGAGCACCTGGGAAGGGCCAGGGTGCTTTCGGGGACAGGGCCTTTGCTTCTCTCCAGGCATGTGACCAAGACACAGTTCACCCCAGCAGCTGAGGAACTGGAACTTTAGAACTCCAGGTTATCCTCAGGGCTCAAAGTTTCTAGAATCTTCAACTCCATTATTGTGGTCCAAGACCAAGCCCCTAAGCTGTGAGGACCTCTGAGCTTTTTCCGTCTTTCAAATGCTTTCCCATGAACTGACTGCAGCCACCTTTCTGAGAACACATGTGGATGAGCAGCACAGAAAATGTTGCCCGCAATCTATGGTAAACCATGGCTCTGGGTGGCAGCACGTGTTGGAGTCAGAAGGAGCAGGGTGTCAGTGCTGGCCACTGGCCAATGAGTAACCCCGAGCAGGTACTTCAACTCCCAGAGCCTCAGTCTTCCTCATTCACAGAATGGGAAGAGGGGCTTGCTTCCCTTAGGCTTCTTGTCGGAGAGGTACAGCAGGTACCCCAGGAAGGCAGGTGGTGGGGCTGAAGCAGGAAGTCCCAGTCTAGGACAGCAGAGGGCCTCTCCCCATGCTAGCAAGGGCGGGCTTTGACAGGGGACAGACGGGGCAGGGTTAACAGATACCAGGCAGTTCCAGATGAGCCGGTCCTGGCTCTGCCTTGGGGCAGGGGTGGGGCCTGCATTACTCCAACTGGTGACTTTCAGCTCCCTTTCCACCTTCCCTGACCAGCTGCTCTGGAGGGAGCAACCTTCCAGCCCTCCCAGGCTCCTGAAGACCAAAGCTTCCTCCAAGCATGCATGGCAGTCTAGGGGAGCCCAACCGCCCTTCCCCTGGATACCAGGAGTGGAGTTCAGGCTGACCTCTCAGTCCCATGGACTGTGGCATGGAGGACAGACATCACTGGAGATGCAGCAGTCAGAAATCAGTCACTCCCTGTACCAGTGCCAAGGCCGTGGAGGCGGGGGCCTGCTCACTGGGGCAAAACTAGGCACGGATCCAGGCAAGCTCAGGGCACAGCCCTGCAGGCCCAGTCTGAACTGAGGTTGGGATTTTGCTCCGGTTCTTATAAGGCAAAGGCGGCAGGATGTGGTGGCCAGTGGGTAACAGCCACTCGCTGAGTCCTTGTGATAGGCTAGGGCTGTGAATCAGCCAGACACAATCCCTGCCCTCAGAGGTCTTGCAACCTAGTGGGGAGCGAGGGTGTCACGCTAACTCCCTGGAAGGGGTGCCATGAAACCCTGCGCATGCCAGCGATCTGAGGACCTGGGAGTAAGTGCACGTGGCTGGAGCCCCTGCTGGCATGGGGAGCTGCTCTGCCCACAGCTTCTGCTTCTAGAACCACCACTGTCCCCACGCCAGCACAGCTACCTGAGCTGAGGTGGGCAACCTGTGGCTTGGCTCGACGGGTGAGCCATGCCAATCCGAAACCTCTCTCAGGAACTAAGGAGGGGACAGAATTGCACAGACCCCATGATATAGAGTTGGCCCTGTAGTAGAATTCACGAGGGAGGAGAAAAGGGAAGGGTCGGAAAGGCGGCTGTAGGCGAGAAAGCTGAGTGGGACTGGGACAGCCCCCAGTGTGCCCGACACGAGAGAGAGAGAGATGCCGGGAGGGCATGACAGGACCCTAGTGCTGCCTGGACCTGGGTCTTGTTTCCTAAAATTCCATTTGTCCTTGCACTAACCCCTTTCCTTGAGGCAACTCAGGTGGGCTGCTGCTCTATCGATCAGGTGAGCTGGCCTCAAGCAGTGCCTTTGGGATCTCTGATTCAGGGCACCTGCCCACTCAGCTGAGGCTGGGGCTGTGCTTGGGGCCCAGGTCACCTGGTAAGCTGGGGGGCATGGTGTTCACCTGGCAGGAGCTCACCTGGACCACAGAGATGTGTCCATGCAGCACAGCGAATGTCAGTGAGGTCCAGTGCCGGCTGTCGGGGTGGATGGAAGGGTGCCTGGGGGAGTTGCTTGGAACCTGGAAAATACCACAAATCATCTGTGTTTTCTGGGCACCCGAGCGAAGGGAGTACCCTGCAGGGATGGTGAACCAGAGTTAACAAGTGCTTTCTACATTCGATTGATAATGTTTGCCTGGAGCACAAAGTGGACAAGGCTCAAAAAGAGAGGATAGGTATTTAATTAGCAATGTCTGCCCTGGGCAAAAGAGGGCAGATGGGGAGTGCTTTATGCTTCAGAGGGAGGCAGAGCTAGAAGTATTTGGGGATGGAAGGAATGGCTGGAGATTAGGCTGGTAAAAGGAGGAAGATATCATGAAAACAGAATCACAGCCCATCTCTCCACTCACTCCCGCCTCAGTCCACTCCTTTTCAGACAGAAAGCCCAAATCTTGAGGAGACTTCCCTGGCTAACAGTGGCCTCTGTGCATCTTGTCTTTCCGGTCTTTTGACACACATCTACTCAGTTGCCCAAAACATCACGCCCAGCGTGTTTGTTGGAGCCCTCGGAGTGATCCCTGCTGGCCTAGGGCCTGGGTGCAGCTCTGTGGGGCTTCCTCACCTGGATGTCCAAGTTTGCCCCAGCATCAATCAACATCTGGACCATCGCTTCGTCCCCAGCAGCGCAGGCGTACATCAGTGGCGTCATACCCTGAGCAAATCAAATGCACGTGCTAAACTGTTTGCAAACAGAACACAACACCATGTGCCCACAGGCCTCTGCCCCAGAAACCACAGATCGGGCACCCCGCCACCCCAGCCGAGCATCCTGTGGTCCCCCAGGCTCTGTGCTTCCTGGGCTGCTGGGCACAGGGCATGGGGAAGGTGAGTGGGGGCACTGCCATGAGCACTGCAGGACACTGGAGCAGGGCCCAGCACAGGCCGTGCAGCCAGGCTCGGTGCCAAGGTCTCCTCTGCCATGGGGAGCTGTAAACTTTATACATGTCATTTGCCCTCTCTGTGCCTCAGTTTTTTCATCTGTAAATGGGGAACCACAGCAGTATCTTATCTCCCTCAAAGGGTTGTTGTAGAGTGTGGATTAATATGTATAAAGTGCTTAGTTCAGAATGAGCTTACCTTGATTAAGAGCTATGTAATTAAAATACCAACAACACTCTCATGGCTACTATGCCATACAGCCTCATAGCCGCCATCCCAGGCCCTGTGCATGGAAATCACCCTGCTAGTGATGAGCATGCAGCATCTCCCTCCATCATCGTAATATTCCCATCCTCCCCATTTTACAGCTGAGGAGCAGAGAAGGGGAACTGACTGCCCAAAGTCACACAACTAGCGAGAGGTTGAACTCGGGGCAGGAACCAGGCCTCCATAAGCTGTGAAGCCCAAGCTTTGCGCCGTCCCACGAGACGGTAGAGGAGGCATTTGACTTCAACATCTTCTGCTACTGAGCAGTTCAGAGCATTCCTGCAAGCTGAGTCCTGCTGTCTCCCTGGGTTAGGTGGGCAGTTGGCGGGGCCGCCTCCCTGGCTGGGAATCCTCCTCTGTGGCCGGCAACAGCAAAGGCAGTGCAAACTGTTTATTCCACGGCTGGATCCCAGCAAGTGTTTGCCTGGTGTCCCGTGATGTTATTTATTAGGATATTTGTGTGTAGACAAGATCTCCTTACCTCATAAATCCTTGCCTAGTGGCCAGAGATAAAGCAATGGCCTGAGATTAATCATGGGGTGAGAGAGCTGTTTACCCACAGATCATTCTATAAATACTAAGGTTTAGGGAACAAACAGGATTGAGCACTTAGACAAAGGCCAACACCACAGAATAAAAATTTGGCTTTGTTTCATCTCCCTGCGGACAGACTTGACTTACTTTTTTCTCCACACATCTGTATACAATTTGGAGTTTAAACCAAATGACGGGCCCGGTGAGGAGACACTGCTTTTTCCCTTGTCCCTGTCCCCACGCACTCCAGACATATAAAGAGGCCAAATAAAACCAGGCCGGCTCGCAGATATCAGGCATCATCATCATATCAACAGCAATACGACTACAATAATCATCATATTGGCAATAAAAACCGGAATGAACATTTAGTGAGTGCTGACTATGTGCTGGATGCAGACTTCCCCCAACCCTATGTGTCAGGTGCTACCATCCCCCATCTTAGAGGGGAGGAAACTGAAGTGCCTCAGGGAGGCAGAGTAACTTGTTCAAGATGCTACAGCTCTTACATGGCCACTAAATCCTAGGTCTATCTGAAGCTAAAGTCCACGGGCTTCCACACTGTGCTGTTCAAGAAGGAAGACTCCACTGGGACAAAAGCTCCCACAAAGCCCGGGAACCTGTGTGGACGGAGAGGCCCCCACGAGATCCCACAGCAGCCTGTCACCTGCCACTGCCCTCTGGAAGTCCAGTGCTGGGCCTGTGGTCCTTCCCCAACCCCTGGCCTGGGTCCACGCCCTGACTGCCCCACCCCACACTCCTTATGTCCCTTTCCCTGGAATCCCTTCCTGACTCCTCTCTGCTCCGTCCCCATCCTGCCCTCCCCCAGGCTCGGCTCAACCGCTTCCAGCAGGAAGCTTCCCCTTGCAGCCCATCCCATCTGTCAGGGTCCACCCTGGCCTCACGGTCTGCCTGGAGTTTCATCACAGGCTGCATTGTGCCGTCACCTCATCTGAGAACACTGCCTTAACTCGCCACTGTCATCTAACTCCCCATGCTCTGTGTGGCCTTCCAAACCCCACAGTGCCCTTCCGCACACTGTAAGTGCTCTCAGTACAGTGTCAAATAAACACACAGGATATTCCATAGTGGTTGAGAGGCTGGGTCCAGCTGCTCAGATTCTCCACCCAGCTCTGCTCCTTACTAGTGGTGTGACCTTAGGTAAAGCAACCTCTCTGTCCCTCAATTTCCTCATCTATACAATGGGGAAAATAATAGTGCTACATCACAGGGCTGCTGTCAAGAGGAAGTGAGTTAATCTATGTGAAGCACTTAGAACAATGCATCGAACATAGTAAATGCTATATAAATGGTAGCTGTTCACAGCAAAAGTAAAAAACAAAACAGATGCGAAACTCAAGTTAAAGCCTATCTAAAACTACATCACCTCCCACATTTCCTACCCATTTTCATGCTTCATTTTAGTCCTCAGCACTTTAACATCCTCTACATTTTACATGTCTGTGTTTCTTCTTATCTGTCTCCTGCACTAAAATGGTATCTCCATGAGGACAAGGGTTTCCATGCCCTGGCAAGTAGTTGGCACACAATAGGCTGTACTACAGGGTTAGCGATCGTGTCCCTAGCTGGAGATGAAGCTCACTCTCCCAGACTCGTTCCTAGCCTTGCACCACCTGAAACAGTGGCCAGCTGTCCAGCCAGGGAAGCGGAAGCCACATGACAAAGTTCTTCCAAGGGATACTAGAAGTCTCCAAGCTGACATTCCACATGACCAGGCAGGGCAGGATTCAGGGAGGTAGCCCGCCTTTTCGAAGTACAGAGCTGAGCAAATCTCAGGGTTAGGACAGAGGGCCGCCAATGCTGGGAGCTGAGAATTCCCAACTCTGGTCCTCGTGCCTGTCTTTGTGGAGCTCTCAGGACGTACCTGGTCATCCATGGTGTTAACCCCATCCGGACCCAAGGCCTCGATGGCTTGGTTGATGAGGTCCGTCCTCCCACAGTTGAGCATGCGGAAACCCAGGTCCTGGTTGAATTTTTCAGTAGCTGCTCGGGCATCCAGCCTCCGGAAGGAACTGAAACAGTGTTCGGGTCTGCCCAGAAGAGACCCAAAGGTGCGTGTGACTGTATGCAGACAGCAACTTTCAATGATGTGACACACATGTGTGAGCTTTACGTGTAGAGTGAGGATGAGGATGGGTGGGAAGCACCAGGGAGTTATGATCAGATCAGCAATTACTGTCCCCATCATGTTCTGTCATATGAAGAGCACACATTTCTGCTTTTCTATAAGTACATTAAAAAATTGCTTGGGAGGTAGGTTCAGTGGCTCACACCTGTAATCCCAGCACTTTGGGAGGACAAGGCAGGTGAATCACTTGAGGTCAGGAGTTCAAGACCAGCCTGGCCAACATGGTGAAACCCTGTCTCTACTCAAAATACAAAAATTAGCCAGGCGTGGTAGCATGTGCCTGTATCCCTACTAATCAGGAGTCTGAGGCAGGAGAATAAATTGAACCCTGGAGGCAGAGGTTGCAGTGAGCCGAGATTGTGCCACTGTACTCCAGCCTGGACAATAGAGCAAGACTCTGTCTCAATCAATCAATCAATAAGTAAGTAAGTAAGTAAGTGTTCTGAGCCCTTGTTGCTTCAACTGGCAGAAAACAAAGACTCATGTAAAACAATCTGTTATGGGTCTGCCCCAAGCAGGAAGCAGCTCCCACCCAGACTCATGCCTCAGCACTTGGCTGTATACTGTTTGTGTTGAGCAGGCTGCACTCAGCCTATAAACGGTCACCATGGCCAGGTTCTAGTATTTAGCTCTACATTCTCTCTCTTTAAGGCTTCCTGGTGAGGCTCAGAAGTACCAAAGAGATGGTAGAGAGTAGCATAGACTGCCATTTGCAATCAACGCAACCTACAAGGAAAGTCACAGATAATGCCTGTGTTATAGGGGGCGCATCACAGACGTCCAGTTGGCAGCTTTGGTCTGGAGCCTTGGTTGGGCCAAAGTGTAGAAAATTCATGTCCTAGAATGGGGTTTGGGCCTTCCGTATGAAGACAGAGGAGGCCATAACCTGGGTTTTGGCAGAGGGTTAAAAAAAAGATATAAGGCCAGGAGCAGTGGCTCACGCCTGTAATCCCAGCACTTTGGGAGGCCAAGGTGGGTGGATCACCTGGGGTCAGGAATTTGAGACCAGCCTGACCAACATGATGAAACCCAGTCTCTACTAAAAATACAAAACTACCCAGACGTGGTGGTGCGTGCCTGTAATTCCAGTTACTTGGGAGGCTGAGGCAGGAGAATCGCTTGAACCCAGGAGGCAGAGATTTCAGAGAGCCGAGATCACACCATTGCACTCCAGCCTGGGCAACAGAGTGAAACTCTGTCTCAAAAAAAAAAAAAAAAAAAAAAAAATATATATATATATATATATATATGTGTGTGTGTGTGTGTATATAGATAGATAGATAGATAGATAGATAGATAGATAGATAGATAGATAAAAGGCTCTCATGGGCCTAGGATGGCCAGGGACGCTTCTCTAGAAAAGCTCCTCAGCAAACAAGTCTACTGTGAGAGGCATTTAGGGAAGGAAATTAGGAGCACAGGCTTGGAGGCCGTATGGACCTGGGTTCAAATCTGGGCACGGTAAAGTGCTAGCTGAGTATCTGTGGGCAAGCTACTGTTCCCCTCTGACCCTCAGCTTCTTCATCTGTAAGATGGGCATGATTGCCTCTTCCCTGCACTTGTCATGAGGACTAAGATAATGCACATAAAGAGGAAGGGCTCACAGCACCTGCACCCAGGAAGGGCTCCATGTGGTGTCAATTACAGGAACAGAGGAAAGAACGGGCCCACTTCTGCCCCTCAGTCCCCAAGTATCCCAAAGAGTTAGATGTGTGGGCTCTCCTGCCCCAGTCCCAATGTGTGTCTCCTCTGTGTAGCAGACCAGCAGCTGCAGGAGACGTTTCCAGACAGCAGCCAAAGTCTACAATAGATCTGTTCCCATACTCAGGCTTGGCCTTTGCAGAGGACACCCTTAGAACAGCTCAAATGTGCTGCAGCCCCTGCTCTCTGACCCCCGCCCAGCCATCTGGGGAAGAAGCGAGCAGAGGGGAGCCGCTGGGGGCAGGTCATGGATGCCGGGGCCCTCCCTCCTCCCTGGTTCATACTTGAGCTGCCGAGGTTCACAGTCCAGACCAGGCAGCAGCAGCCGGGCTGCCTGCCGGATGTCGCCGCTGTCCACGGTGAGGCTGCGGCGGTGCTCTGCGTAGGTGATGGCCACGCGCATCCACTCCATGAGGGGCGGCAGCAGCATGAAGGGCCTGTGGGGCAGCAGAGAGAGGGTCAGGCCTGGGGTGGGGTCCCTGCAGGGCAGCAGAGAGAGGGTCAGGCCTGGGAGGGTGCTTCTTGTGGGGCAGCAGAGAGAGGGTCAGTCCTAGGGTGGGGGGCTCCCTGCTGGGCAGCAGAGGGTCAGGCCTAGAGAGAGTGCTCCCTGAAGGGCAGCAGGGGACCCCTTAAGCACACACATGCTCACAAGTGGCAACCAAGGCTGATCACCCCTTGCAAGGGACCTGCTCTTTCTGCTCACAGAGACCCCGACTACCTGCAATGCACAGAAGGAATTTCCATCATGGGCCATTAGCAGAACCTGAGGGCCCTCAGGTGGCCCAGGGAAGGAGCAGTTCCCCAGTGTGTGGAATTGGGGACCTTTCCCCCTCCAAAGAGTTCAGTCAGGGTCGCCAAGTGTTCTTCTATGCAGAGGGGAGAGGCTGCACAGCTAAGAGTCTCACAGACCCAGGTCCAAACCCAGGGCTGCCACCAGCAGGGTCAGGTCACCATCCCCTCCGACAAGCACACTCGAGTCTGGTTCTCCATCTGTAGCACACGTGTGATACCTCCTTATGGAGGCTGTCATGAGGCCAAATGGGATGATGCATATTAGGCTGTTGTACAACATTAATGACCACTCCTTCCTCATCTGGCACCTAGACTGAGGTGGGCTGACACCACTTCGTGTGCCAGGCCAGGTTGCCCCCAGTTTGGTGCTCAGAAAAGAGTAGTGGCCTCGGCCGGGCTCGGTGGCTCACGCCTGTAACCTCAGCACTTTGGGCGGCCAAGGTGGGTGGATCACGAGGTCAGGAGATCGAGATCATCCCGGCTAACACAGTCTCTGTTAAAAAATACAAAAAATAAGCCGGGCTTGGTGGCGGGCGCCTGTAGTCCCAGCTACTCTGGAGGCTGAGGCAGGAGAATGGCGTGAACCCGGGAGGCGGAGCTTGCAGTGAGCTGAGATCGCGCCACTGCCCTCCAGCCTGGGCGACAGGGCGAGACTCCGTCTCAAAAAAAAAAAAAAAAAAAAAAAAAAGAAAGAAAAAGAGTAGCGGCTTCAAGTCCCACAGGGAGGAATGGTCCTAGCGGGTCCGAGTATCACTAAGAGCCCACAAAAGCAGGGAAAGGCGGCGGCAGGCTTAGAGCTGCAAACTCCCGGGGCGCCGCTCATGAGGCCCGCTCTGTGCCACCAGGGGACGCCATGTGCACAGCCTGTGCTGGGCCCTGACTGCGGCTCAGGCCGCGCCCGCCCCTGCCCTCGGCGAGCGGCTCAGATTCAGCTGGGGGGCGGGGACGCGTTTCTGTCCTCTGCCAGCTCTGGCAAGGCTCCGTGTTGGAGCCCCCTCAGGAGACCACTTCGCCGTCCAACAGACCTCCCCGCCACCGAGGGGCCCGGATGGCAGCCTGTGGCTTCATGACTTCGTGGGACACCCACCTGCTCTGCCCAGAATGGACGGAGCTCTTTCCCTGCTCCATCACAGGAACAAGGCAGCCCTGGAGCCCTGTCCCTCACTCATGCTGTTCTCTCTGATGACAGCCCAAAAGTCAGCCTCCCGGCTCCTGCCTGTTCCCAGCCCTTCCCGATGCCACTCTTGTCCTTCCTTACAAATTAAGCCAGGGAGCGGGCAGGCAGCCAGGGGCAGGCGGCCAGGCCTCCAGCCACCCCAACTCCCTCGGGGCTCTTGGAGCGTCCCGCCTGTGCGGTCACTGTGGTCTCTCCCCTTGACATGCAGCTAAGTGCTCCCGCCAGGGAAAAGATGTCCATTCTCTCTCCTTGGCTAGGAAGTAAGCCACCTCCAGGGAGTCAGCCTGGGCTGCCCTCGGAACCCCTATCTCAGGTCTCCAAAAGCTCGGGTCATCTCCAGAGTTCTAAAAGTTTCTTCTCTCCTTGAGGGCAAAGAATGCTTTTATTTTAAAAAGTGGCAAACAAATATAAATGCTCCTTGACTTAGGATGGGGTTACATACCAATAAACCCATAGTAAGTTGAAAATATCCTAAGCGAAAACGCATTGAATACACCTCACCTACTGAATAGCCTACCTTAAACATGCTCAGAACACCTACATTAGCCTACAGTTAGGCAAGATTATATAAGCCAAAACCTGTTTTATAATAATGTTGAACATCAGTGTAACTTACTGAATACTGTATGAAAGTGAAACAGAATTGTTGTGTGGGTACTCGAAGTAGTTTCTACTAAATGCATATCGCTTTCACACCACTGTAAAGCTGAAAAATTGTAAGTTGCACCATCATAAGTTAGGGATTTTCTGTAATCAGAAGTGATCTTAAAGGTCTTTCCTTTGGGAAGGTATTCTGATGTTCTGGTTCTGTCATTTCCAATATTCCTGGGTTTGAACCACTTAACTGGTCCACTGAGCATACCAATCTGTATGAAGGGGAGGGCCACAGGCCAGTAAAGCCTCACTATCTCTGGCCCTCAAGGACTCCCAGAACCTCACCTCACCCTATCTCCTGCCGTGACTCACCCCTGTTACCAGGACACACCACCAGCACTCATGGACCTCAGGCCCACCCTGCCTGCTCCCATCTATGCATGAGAACGAACAGCTCTCACCCCTGCTTGTCTAGATCCTATTTATCCTTCAAGACTCCATTCCAATGCCACCTGCTTCAGAAGCCTTCCCAGATTCTCTCTCCCCACCCCCCCAAAAAAAAGGGGGGCTGGGTGCGGTGGCTCACGCCTGTAATCCCAGCACTTTGGTAGGCTGAGGCAGGTGGATCACAAGGTCAGGAGTTCGAGACCAGCCTGCCCAATATGGTGAAACCCCGTCTCTACTAAAAATACAAAAGTTAGCCGGGCGTGGTGGTACTCACCTGTAGTTCCGGCTACTCAGGAGGCTGAGGCATAAGTATCGCTTAAACCTGGGAGGCAGAGATCGCAATGAGCCGAGATCATGCCACTGCACTCCAGCCAGGGTGACAGAGTGAGACTCCGTCTCAAAAAAAAAAAAAAAAAAAAAAAGAGAAAGAAATATCTTCCTGCTCTGAGATCACTGAAAACTTTCCTTTACAGCAATAGCCATGAATGCATGTTGTCTTCCTAACCAGACTGTTCCTTCTAAGCACGGGAACAATGACTTCCTCATCTCTGTATTCTCTGAAATATGACCAGCCTGGGGCCTGACATGGCAGGTCCTCAATAAATGTTCACTGAAGCCAGGCCTGCTGGCACACGCCTGTAGTCCCAGCTACTTGGGAGGCTGAGGCAGGAAGACAGGTTGAGCCCAAGAGCTGGAGGCTACAGTAAGCTATGATCGCACCACTCCCCTGCAGCCTGGGAGACAAAGAGAGACCGTGTCTCAAGAAAACAAACAAACAAACAAAATTATTAGTAGAAAGTTTTGCTGAGTGACAAAAAGTATGGATGAACATCAGTAACTTACTATAGTGTACCCAGGTTTTCAGTTATGGACCAAGTCATGTTTCTGCCCAGAAAAGAATGGTGTATAATTTTCAAGAGCCTAGTGTTGACTCATTAGAGTAGGAAGCTGAGATTCTATGGGGGGATCTTGTGTAGTCTAGGAAGAAACAACAATCTATTCATGAATTATCCCTCTGTTTATAAGAGTTCCCTTAAACATAAATGCCCAATTCCCCCCAAATATTTTTAGATTTCACAATTCTTATATTACAGGGCTGGAAGGCAAGCTTACAGACATGCTTCTATATATCAGTCCTTCTGATTGCAGGAAAAGCCTTTATTTCAACCATCAGCATTGGAGACTGAAGTGTAAACAAAAAGATAATCCGTGGATTTGCCAGCCATTCTTCCCTATTGTGGCCAACAGCCAAGACAAAGCACCACGTGTGGCTACTAAAACTCTAAGAGGGCATCTCCTAGCTGCACTAGGGGAAATCCAAGAGGGAATTCGGGAAATCATGAAGTCTAATCAGGTGGCATCTTGGTTCATCCCCCTGCCTCATGCTCCTTAGAACTCAACACTTGAGAAAATGCAGTATTGATAGTCCTGGTGGGTATACACTGGACTCACTGGGTATACACTGGGCTCATTCAGCCCTCACTTTACCATCTTGGCTGGTGAGGTGGAAAATTGAAAACTGCATTTCCCAGTCTCCTTTGCAGCTGGGATTCTGGAAATTAGGTTTTATCATTAAGATATGCTGCATGAAATTTGGTAAGTGAATGGGAGGCAGAGGCCACCTTTGTGTTCCCTTTGTCTGTTTTTGCTAGCAAACCAGGTCATGAAAACTGAGGGTTTTTTTTTCCTACAGAACATTCCAGTCCAGTTTCCACCTATCTGAGGCTTCAGAGTAGTGGTAGTGATGGTGAAATGATAAAAGCAATAGCAAAGTCTTTTTTTCTTTTTTTTAACCTCCCACCTCAGCCTCCCAAATTGCTGGCACCACAGACATGCACCACCATGCCTGGCTAATTTTTTATATTTTTAGCAGAGATGGGGTTTCACCATGTTGCCCAGGCTGGTCTCGACTCCTAAGCTCAAGCGATCTGCCAACCTCGGCCCCCAAAATGCTGGGATTACAGGCATGAGGCACCGTGCCTGGCTGCAACGCCTTCTTGATTCCAGCTTTACTCCTGAACTGCAGCTCCAGAGGTGTTGTTCAAACTCACAGTTCCAGGCGCTGTCTCAGGGAGCAGCTCCCCTAATGGGCGAGTTCGTCATTCCTGGATGCTCAGCCTACACCCTGCTCCACGAGCTCCTCCAATGATTCTGTGAACCCCCAACTCCCTGCATTAAATCATCTCCTGCTTACAATACCCAGAATGCTGCTTCCTGAATGAAAACTGATTAATACTTTCAATATACAGAAATCTAGATTAGCCCTCTGCCTCTTTCAATATACAGAAATCTAGATTAGCCCTCTGCCTCTGGGGAGGGGCTGGTGCCCACATGTACAAACAAGGCCCCCAAACTGATCCCTTCAGGCCTTACTCCTTGGTCCACCCACCTCCCCAGCCTGGGATCTGTGGGAAGGTAAAAAGAGAAGTAATTCATGGACTTTCTCAGGAACATGCCTTCCATGGGCTGTGGGTTCCAGGCTACTGTTTCCTTCCTGATAATTCCATGGAGTCTGCTGGGCAGGCTGAGATGAGCTGGACCTGCATGTCTGGCCATTCTGGAAAACCCCTTTAAAAACTCCCATCTGCAACAGCGTGGCTGTGTGAGAACTCCAGGGTGAGAGGGCCTGAAGGAGCAAGGCTGAGAATGACTGATGTGTGCACCATCCTCAAGATCCCAAAGAAGTTCTCATTCCCCGCTTGTTGCGTTTCCCGTAGGCTGAGCTTGGTCGTTCCGTGCCCGAATGCAGATATCTGCAGGGCCAGAGCCAGGAGACCGGGTCGGGGCTGAAAAAGCTCCCTTTGTTCAGCCTTTCTGCCTGCTGAATTTTTCCTTAGCTGGATCTGATACCTCAGAATAGTGGTTCTCAATTTTTTCCCTGGTCTCAGGACTCTATATATACTCTTAAAAATTGGTCGGGCATGGCAGCTGACACTTGTAATCCCAGCACTTTGGAAGGCTGAGGTGGGCGGATTACTGGAAGTCAGGAGTTTGAGACCAGCCTGACCAACTTGGCAAAACCCCATCTCTACTAAAAATACAAAAATTAGCAGGGTGTGGTGGCACACACCTGTAGTCCAAGCTACTCAGGAGGCTGAGGCAGGAGAATTGCTTGAGCCCAGAAGGTGGAGGTTGCAGTGAGCCAAGATCACACCACATCACTGCACTCCAGCCTGGGTGACAGAGTGAAACTCCAACTCAAAAAAAAAAAAAAAAAAAATTAATGAGGACCTCAAAGAGCTTTTGTTTATGTGTGTTATTCTACGGATATTGGCTGTATCAGAAATTAAAACTGAGAAAATGTTAAACACATGAACGCACAAGCTCATGTCCCATTTGCCGTCAGAGTGATGACATCATGATATCACACAGCTTCTAGAAAAGTCTCCTGGATACTTGTGAGAGAACAAGAATGAAAAGGCAAATAACTTCTTGTTATGAAAATAGTTTTGGCCCTGTGGACTCCTGGCAAGAGTCCCTGGGACCTCAGGGGTCCCTGGACCACACTTTGAGGACTGTTGCTGTGGAAGACCACAGCTGATGGCTAGGACAAAGCTGGTAGGGGCTGGCAGGCGGCGCTGGCACAGAGCTGGCATTTCGCCCCTGGTGGCACACGGTCTGGTGAATCCTAGAGTGGTGTATGGCTTGCATGCATGCTCCTGGCAAAGGGATCCGAAGGTCCTAGACCCCTTCCCTGTGGCATCCTCACTGGGAGAAAGTTCTAGTTTCTTTTATACAACTGAACTTGCTCTATAACCTTGGGCAGATCGTCATCCTCTGTGGGCCATATTTTGTATTAAAGAAGAAATTGCCAAAGTTCGTGGTTTTTAACTCCTTTCATTGTGAGAGCCCTTTTGCTTTTATTTCACAGACTCCATACGATAGTAGCTGTACCTACTGCATGGTGACCAAGAGCACGGACTCCTGAGGGAGATGGCCTGGGTTGGAATCCAGTGTATTCCCAATGAGTTCAGCTATGTGGGTCTATGCAAGTTACTTCACCTCTCCCGGTCTCAGTTGTTCCATCAGCAAAATGGTTATAAATAATAGGACCACCTCACAAAACAGCTAGAAGCATGCATGTAAAATACTTACCATCATATTTGGAACATGGTAACTTCTCCATAAATGTTAACTATTATTACTAGTTTAGTGTCTGTTGACAGAGAAAATATATAATAGCAAAAAGGGCTATAGGAATCTGGTTCTATTAAATGCCTCAGCTCCAGCTTTCTGAAAGTCCAGCCAACTCTTTGCCTTCCCCCCACAGCAAGTATAAACATGTAAAGCCTGCAAAAGTCTGCCAGCAGGCTGCCCACCACCCACTCCATCCCAGCTCATAAAACAGAGAAAACAAATGCAACCACTATGTCGAGTGTGAGCTGGAAACTGTTTCTGGCAGTGCAGCCTCTTGGCCTTGGCAGTGAAAAAACTCACACAAGGGAAGGGGCAACAGCAAGGAACACAGACCCAGAGGCCTTGGGTCATGAACGTGTGTGGTGGCGAGGGTGGGTGAGCAGAGAATTACTTCAAGGGATCAGCAACCCCTGATCTGTCCTCAAATGCTGCAAACAGCCCAAAGGCCTAACCTAAATACCGTCATATGCATACATGCAGACAAATCCCAGAGATGGACAAAGCCACTTAAAAAGGTCAGTGGCTTTCTGGTAGCATTTGTCTTTGTGTACATAAAGGGCAGCACATGAAATAGACCAATGGAAATGGGTCTTTTTATATGAGAAGCATGGGAAATCCCTGACCACCTCCTCTCATTGCTAGAGGAGGAAAAGGAAACCCAGAGAGGCTAAGCGCCTTGCTCAAGGTTACACGGCCAATTCAGCTGCAATAGGGATGCTAGACCCAGGTGCCATAACAGTCTCTCTCATCTGCCTTTAAGTTAATCATACAGGTGAGCCTGATTGTTCAATCCAAGGGTCTCCTAAGGCCCCTCAATGGAACTAGGACTGA
Source organism: Homo sapiens (assembly GCF_000001405.40). NCBI lineage: Eukaryota > Metazoa > Chordata > Mammalia > Primates > Hominidae > Homo > Homo sapiens. The sequence goes on from NC_000011.10 coordinate 34,180,849, forward strand.
GAAAGCTATTATTCCCCCCTTTAAAAAATGAAAGAGTATAAGCTTCTTAAGGCCTTGGTTTGTTTTGTTTTGTTTTGAGACAGTCTTGCTCTGTCACCCAGGCCGGAGTGAGGTGGCACGATCTCAGCTCACTGCAACCTCCGCCTCCCTGGTGCAAGCGATTCTTCTGCCTCAGCCTCCTGAGTAGCTGGGACTATAGGCATGCACCACCATGACCAGCAAATTTTTGTATTTTTAGTAGAGACAGGGTTTCAACATGTTGGCCAGGATTGTCTCAATCTCTTGACCTCCTGATCTGCCTGCCTCGGCCTCCCAAAGTGCTGAGCTTATGGGCGTGAGCCACCATGCCCAGCCAAGGCCTTGGTTTTAAGAGGCCCCTGCAGCCTGGAAAACAAACAAACAAACAAACAAACAAAAAAAACAACCCTGTTGCACTCAGAAAGCATATGATTTATTGGGATTACAGTCCTATAAGTGGTGTCTTAACAACATGGAACAGGAAACCCCTCCAGTTTCCAGCTCAAAGCAGGCTCTGTTCTTCCCCGGGGTAGGCAGGGACCCCAGAGTGAGTCAGGTTGGCAGATGGGGCACAGGCCTGTAACCAGAGGCCACATGACCCGGGCCCCAAGCACAAGCCTCGGGTCTCTGTTCCCATCCTGGCAGGCCAAGCAAATGAGGCCAGCCGGTTTGTGCCCTTCTCCATCCACCCAGGAGGAGCTGAATACAAAGACTCAGGCAGACCCTGGACACACCCACAAGCTAAGAAGGGCCTCGAGACCAGGCCCAAGCTTAGCTCTGGGAAGACAGGGTGGGTGTGAGCATACAACGTTCTGGGGTGCAGGCCCGGCTCCCAGGGCTGGGAGGTACACTGTGCCACAGGCTTGCTTCCAAGAGAGCTCCCCATCACCCGCTAAGCTGTGGCCTGCCCCACCTGCAAGCACCCTGGGAGTCCAGGAAAGGACAGGCAAGAGATGACGATCAAGGGAGAGGATGGCCCCAGTGGTTCCTACCTTCAGCCCTAAATTCTTCCACTAACTTTGCCCCACCTTCAGTGGGAGTCAGAGCCAAGCACTGGGGTTGAATGGGGTCACATCCCCCTGGACTCACCCTTTCTCATGGATCATGCCGTGAAACACACTGCTCCCATGCTCCTCCCTGTCTTGTCTGGGCTGGGGGTGCCAAGTGGCACCGTCAGGAACTTGCAAAGATGCCAAGCTTTTCCTAAGCAAGTGACGGCTCCACGAACAGACTTCTTTGGGAAGGTCAGGGCTGGCTCTGCAGGGCCAGCAATGAGGCCCTCACCATAGCTTCCCTGAGATTTCCACACAGCCACCACGGCCTAATACCAAGCCAAAACATCCACGTAGGATAAAAAACCAACATTGTCCCGCTAAGTCAGATTTCACTCTGCACCAAAGAAACATTTCTAGTCCAGCTCACATCTTGTACTCATTATTTTTCTAGAACTGCTGGGTAAACCAGAATGGTTTGGCATGGCTTGGAGGCAGAGTTGGGCATGGTTCCCTCTTCGGACCCCCAGCCTCATCTCCTCCAGCAGCCAGGCTGCCTCTGAACCGCAGCTGAGCCCACAGCAGAATCTCCACTTGTGCCCAGGTGACTTCTGCTTGAGGTGGGGCATTGGGTTCTCTGGGGGGGGGGGGAAATTCACTTTTCCTATTAAAACTCATCTGGTACAGATTAGAGGCACTAGATGAAGCTTGCCCAGATACACATAGGGACAGAAATTTAGAGCCAACCAAGTCATGACTAGCTCTGGGTGATTTCCCTTGTGTCTCCCCAGGGGTCACCCTTCAGGTCCCCATAGGAGCCTGAGAGTTTCTGTTAGCAGTGAGATGGGAGGTCCACCGTGTGACAATCAGGGCCTTCAGGAGTAATAGAAAAATGCAAACAGCTAACATTTCTGGAGCGTTTACTAAGCAGCTGCCACAGTGCCCTGGACATCTAGTGGCTCATCTGCTTCTTAGAGCTGCCTGATGTAGCAGGTACTATTATTATTTCCGTTTTATACATGGGGAAACTGAGGGCCAGAGAGGTGAGGTCACTTGCCCTATGTCATGCACCTGCCAAGGAGCAGAGCTGGGATATGAACCTGGGCAGTGTCCCTGAGTCTAAGCTTCTGAAGATGACATTCCACAGCCACTCAGATTCTTCACCTGGTGCTGGCCCAACTCCTCCATCTTAGGGATGATGATATTAGGCACAGTAACCACAATTTGTCATGCAAACTGGATGACTTTTTTTTTCCTTTGAGTCAGGGTCTTGCTCTGTCGCCCAGGCTGGAGGTGTAGTGGCACAATCACATCTCACTGTAGCCTCAACCTCCTCTGCTCATGTGATTCTCCTGCCTCATCCTCCCAAGTAGCTGGGACTACAGGTGTGTGCCACCAGACTCGGCTAAGTTTTGTGTTCTTTGTAAGGCGAGGTTTCACCATGTTGCCCGGGCTGGTCTTGAACCCCTGGACTCAAGCCAACTGCCTACCTTGGCATCCCAAAGTGCTGGGATGGCAGGCGTGAGCCACCGTGCCCAGCTGGATGACTTTTGAAAGGGAAAAAGAGAGCTACCGCCAGCACTGGGACTACCGGGTGTAAACTAGAACTGGGCTGGGCACACCAGAACATATGGTCACCGTACTGCCCTCGGCTAGAGAGACTGCCCACGGTGGCCTGCTGCCGGGCTCATGCTGTCTGCAGGCAGGAGGAGGTCCTCCTGCTCACCCCCTCAGAAGCAGGCCTCCCTCTGCCCTCCAGCACTCAGCCCTACCTTAGTGCCTGCACAGCACTCGTCCAATTTGCAATGATTTGGTTGGTATGGTTTTGTACGGTCTCTCCTCTGGACTATATCTTCTCTGAAGGCAGAGGCATTTTTGCTCACTGACGTTTCCCCATCTCTCCGCACAGAAGCCGGTGTTAGAAACTTCATTTTTGAATTTATAAACACAAGGCATGTTTCTCACTCCTGGAGGCAAAGTCCTCCAGCTGCTACCATGGTTTCAGGGGCTGCTCTTACTCCAGGACTTTGTTTTTGTTTTAAAAACAAAAACAAAAACAAACAAAAAACAAAAAACGGGGAGTTTTCCTCTGTTGCCCAGGCTGGAGTGCAGTGGTGCAATCAAGGGTCACTGCAGCCTCAACCTGCTTGCTGGGCTTAAGCGATCCTCCCATCTCAGCCACCAGGCCTGGCTAATTTTTAAAAAGTGTTTTTTTTTTTTTGTAGAGACAGGTCTATGTTGCGCAGGCTTGAGCTGCTGCGTCCGGCCTCCAGGACTGTTCATTAAGGGCTCCAGAGCACTCTCACGAAAGGGGGAGCTGCTTCGTCTTTCATTCCTAGAAGCTTGAGTTGGCTTGGGTATTGGCAAAGAGTTCTTTTCAGAAAAAAAAGGAAATAATTCCCCAGTAAAAAGACAGCTATTGCACAGGAGAGTGTTCCAAATGCAACAACTTCCTAGGGGAAGCACGGCAGCCCGGGGCCAAGGTGGCTTCTGGGAAGGCAGCTTCTGGGAAGGCAGCTAGGATGTAGGGATGGAGCTGTCACCAGGAATAGGAAAAGGTGGCTGTGGTTCTGCAGATGTTACCGTGTCTGAGCCTCAGTGGAGGGTACACAGCCATCTGTCCTTAGGAATCAGGCCTGGTTCCAGGGCGGCATTTCGTGTGGGTGAGATGGTACAGATTCCAGTGGAGACTGCGCATGGGCCTCCACCCCTCCTCGCTTTCCCACACGGCAGGGAGAGCTCCTAGCCCTGCAAGGGCCAGGACATCTGCCTCATTTCTCAGGCCAGAACTCCCCAGCATGGCTGCCCCAGCACAAGGGCAGGCAGCTGGTCCAGCAGGCCTGGGCCTCAGTGCTTCCCACACCCTTGGGTGGCAGGTGTGAAAGCCGGCATCTCTCCACCTCATTGGGAAGCAGCTCCCAGGCCTACTGGCCACGCCCCACCCATGGGGCTCACTGCAGCCATGTGCCAGGGACTCGCTTTCTTCTCCCATGAGCGGTGTTTGTGGTGGCTCACCAGAGACCACGAGCTCTTTCACCACATGGAAACCAGACAGGCGGGGACCTCCAACCTGCTCAAACATACCTCCCTCCCGAGGGCACCTGCCACCACCCATTGGCCTCTGCCAAGAAGACAGACGTGGGAGGACCCCGAGGTTTATCCTATCTGCTGAGCTGTGGGCCAGGGTTGGGGGACTTTTGTTTAGGCTCTTGGGATAGGTAATCCTGTTTGGATTCAGCTAACTGTAATCACACAGCACTCACCTTCCCCAACTCTCATAGTATAAGGCAGAAAGATGACCCATTCAGATTGTCAGCTGAAGAGTTTCTAGAAACTTCTAGGAAGAAGCAGTGGCGTGAGGGCTCTTGAAGCCTGATATGAGAGTGAAATTCTTGACTGGCAAGCAGTGTTTTGACCTGAGCTGTTGATGGGATGGGGGTCATGGAGGGGTGGTACACTCCAGCCCAGACAGAGAGAGAGGAAGAGACAGTGCAAGCTCAGAGGACAGGGCCTGACCCTGCTTTGTGCATCCACATCACAAGGGCAGCTGCAGGGAAGACTGGCATTGGCTTCTGAGCAGCAAAGCCACCTTGCTGAGATGTGCTCAGGGCCTACTCTGTGCCAGGTGGGTGTGAGGTTGCATATGTTACCTCTGAAACAGTCACCCTGCGAGGGAGATATACTTATTAGTCTGCATTTTTACAAATGCAGAAACAGCCTTTGTAGAGGGTAGGTCACATGTCCAAGGTGACATAGCTAGACAAAGGTGATTAGTCTGGTTCTAAAAAACAACCATTCTGAATGGTCACTGGAGGCTGGAGTGGGGTTGGGGGGAGAGGTGGGTCAACAGGTACAAAGTTGTAGTTAGATTGGAAAAATAAGTCCTGGTATTCCCTTACACAGTATGATGACTATAGTTAATAACAATGTATTATATGTTTCAAGACAGCTAGAAAAGAGGATCTTGAAAGTTACCACCATAAAGCACTGATGAAGGTTTGAGGCAATGGACATGCTAAGGACCCTGATTTGATCATTATAGAATGTATACATGTATTTAACCATCACATTGTACCCCATAAACATATACAGTTATTATGTGTCAATTATAAACAACAACAAAACCCCCCAAACCACCCTGGGGGTCTTTCAGGATACCAAACTGCAGGCATGAAATGCTCTGAGCCCTGGTGGGTGGAAAGCTGGAAGGAGGCGTGATGGAGAAAGGTTTGCCTTGGGGCCCACGGCACCGCTCCGCCCAACCTCCAGCTTTTGCTCTCTCAGCCTCATCAGGCCCTGAACTCGGCCGGGAACAGAAGGCTGGGCTCCAGTGCCTCAGGGGGTGCACCCCAGGCACCTTAAGAGCCCTTTCCCCTCAAATCCACAAATATTAAAGCAGTCAAAGCGGGGAGGGGCAAGTCACAGACAGCTGTCAGGGCGGCTGGTCTTGCAAGAGGATAGAAATCCCAAGAGCTGCCTGGCAGGCAAGTGAGAGCACGCCAGGAACCAGCTCGGCTTGGCTCCAGATACCACCCAGCTCCTGTCCTCCCCCCATCCTGAGGGTCTGAATGCTCTCCAGCTTCGCCTCGGAAGCAGGCTTCTTTAAGAAAGCAAAATCAATTCCCTTTAGAGTTGGGAATTCCCTGCATTGAGAATCCTGGCAAGACTGCAGACAAAGGGGATTGTTGCTGCCCGTGTTACAAAAACACTCCAAATGAATGAAGCTCCTCGGGCCCGGCAGTTCCCAGTCTTCTTTTCTGCGAGGACCGGTGGGTCCAACAATGGGACAGGAAGTCCCATGCAACAGCCAGCCCTGGGGGGTGCTTGTCAGAGGCCGGGCCAGGATCCTGTCCTGTCTCTATCCCTGTTATGTGGCACTGACACTTCCTGCCCCGAATCCCTGGCTCGCTCCTTCTCGGATGCTGGGCAGACGCCCACCCCCAGGCTGGCCTCCCAGAGCCAGCCAATGCAAGCCTGCTGAGAAAGAGGCCCCAAGTAGCTGAGAGCAAGCTGCCCACACCGCTCTGGGAAAAGGAGGTGCTGACCGAGATCCCCGGCTCCGGGGTCTCACCCTCTCCCCTCCTGGGAGGGGAAGGGATTTACCACTCTGAGCAATGTGAATTCATTGCATTATTATTGATACAACCGACCTCCATTCCTGAGCTGAGATCTGTCTCTTACCAGCTGTGATGGTGGGCATGCCTCGGACCTCCTCAAGGCCTCAGTCTGCTCGCTATAAATGGGAATGTAATAGTTTCCTCCAAGAGCTACTGTAAGGACCTGTTAGAGAGCTGTGTACTAAACAAGCTCTGTAAACTGTAAAACTTTGTCTAGATGCTTCCAGCCCACGTAAAGATAGATCAGGTCTCTTCCAAGTTTAACCTTCAGCAGCCGCAGTCCATTGCACATAGGCACTATGGCTAAACCAGCAGGCGTGGGGCCAGGGACGTCACCAACTTTAAAGAGTGACTGATAGTTGGCTTCGTCTTTGATCCCATAGCTAAATGGAATCCAGTTTGTAGAGTTCTTTGAAATCCTTGGGTAGGGTGTGATAAGGCTAAATTTCGTAGATGTCCAAAATGGGCCTCGTTTAACAAGCCTTCTGTGATGTGGTCTTCTCGTCTACCTTATCTTCTTTGCCTTTTTTTTTTTTTGGTGAGATGGGGTGTTGCTCTGTTGCCCAGGCTGAGTGCAGTTGGTGAGATCATAGCTCACAGCAGTCTTGAACTCTTGGGCTCAAGAGATTCTCCCACTCAGCCTCCTGAGTAGCTAGGACTACAGGCATGCACCACCATGCCCAGCTAATTTTTATTTTTATAGAGATGGGGTCTCACTATTTTGCCCAGGCTTGTCTTGAACTCCTAAAGTGATCCTCCCACCTCAACCTCCCAAAGTGCTAGGATTACAGGTGTGAGCCTCTCATCTTTCTCACTCACCTGGCTCCCAGCTACTCTGAGGGCTGAGTTAAGATGGACTAAAGAGCAGGGACTGAGGGAAGGAGGGAGGGATGGATGAGAAGGAGAGAAGACATGCATGTTGAGAAGATATGATTTTTGCTGTTACAAATGTTTCTGGATTGCTTGTTCATTGAACACAACGTGGTCTTTTTGGCCTTCACGCAGGCTTATGGTAACAGTGATTATTCTGATAATAGCAGCTGCCATGCACAAACACCTTATTCTCTGCCACATCCTTAACATGTAGCTACCTTATTCGCCCCTCACAAAAAATTCTGGAAATATTTCAAGTCATTTTCTATTTCAAGCAAGGGAAACTGAGACTTGGCAAATCACGTAACTTGCCCAAAGTCACACAGCTAGGAAATGGCAGAGCCGGGACCCCATATCATGGCCTTTTTAACTCCAAAGAACCCAACCATTAGGTTCTACCACCTATTTCATTAACTTAGCAAAATATTTAACTGCCTACTACACATGCCTGGGACTGTGCTGAGGACACAGCAGGAACAGGGCAGACCGAGGGCACTTACATTCCAGAGGGGTGGGGAGGGAACAGACATGAGCAAGGTGACTTCAGATAGAGGAAGGTGCTCTGAAGGAAACAAAAAGAGCGTACAGTGAGGGAGGTTCCTGGCAGTGGAAAGGAAGCTCCCTGTGTGCACCGTAGACTGTGAACAAGTCCCTTCAGAGGCTAGTGGATGTGCCAGCCTGGGGAATACACGGAAACAAGTACTTAATTCACCCAATAGCTATTCTTATTTCATTTACTTCCATTTTGGGTAAACAGATGGAAATTTAATGCACAAAAAGGGGGAGAGGAAAGGAGAGAAAAGAGCTTAACATTGCAAATCTTCTTGAAATGGTATTTAAGGAACTCAGAAGTCAGTAGCATAAAGCCACCACTGCCATCATCTCTATTATTTGATAAGAAAACACTTTCGCAAGCTGAGCAAAAGATTAACGAGCCCACTTCTTCAGACTGAACACACAGCCTATCTGTGGGCATGTCCTCTTTATGTAAAGTGCTGTCTGAGGGAAACATTCTCCCTGCTGCATCTGGAATGGAACAAAGAGGTGCCTTGATGTGGTACCTCACTCGTATCAGGGCATTTCCCCACCTTAGGAAGCAGGCACAGTTCAGATCTCTACCTTATGCAGGAGGAAACGGAGACTCTGAGAGGTAAGATGATTTGCTTGGATCATAGAGCCAGAAGAAAAGAGCTGGGATTTGATCCTCATCCCACAGCGGCTCAGAGGATGCACTTCTTTTTCCACTGGGAAACCACTGACCTACAGCTTGACCTTGAAGTATTTGCCTAGATAAACAACAATCAGCGATGACTTAAAAAACCAACTGCTGGTCTGAGTGCAGTGGTTTCTACAATTAATCGATCACAACCAGTTACAGATTTCCTTGTTCCTTCGCCACTCCCACTGTTTCACTTGACTAGCCAAAAGAAAAGAAAAGAGAAAAGAAAAGAAATATATATATAATAAAAAATGCTGGGCACTGTGGCTCACGCCTGTAACACCAGCACTTTGGCAGGCTGACTGGGCAGATCCCTTGACTCCAGGAATTCAAGACCAGTCTGGGTGACACGGCGAAACCCCATTTCTACAAAAAATAAAAAAATTAGCCAGGCATGGCAGAGTGGGCCAACAGTCCCAGCTACTCAGGAGGTGGAGGTGGGAGGATTGCCTGAGCCCAGGAGGTCGACGTTGCAGTGAGCCGTGATCACGCCACTGCATCCCACCCTGGGTGACAGAGTGAGACCCTGTCTCAACAACAACAACCACTCAACTAATTTTTATGTTTTTAAAGTGTAGGTCCATTTCTGTTATAAAATTCATGCTCTGAAACAACAAAAGTCCTTCTATGACTCTTGCTGCCCATGCCATTCACCTCTCCCAATCTTCTGTGGCTGTCCTTTAAGGCCCAGTTAAAAATCCCAGGTCTGCTCCGACATGTCCCCCACCTACTCCAGCCTTCTCAGAATCCTCTTAAATGTGATGCTGCTGCTGCTGCTTCTTACTGTGTACCAGGCACTATGCTAAGTGCCTTATGTATATTAACTCACTTGATCCCCACAACACCCCTATGAAGTTGACACTATTAATCACCTATTAAGAAGAGACTGGGCTGGCCGCAAGTGGCTCATGCCTGTAATCTCAGCACTTTGGGAGGCCTAGGAAGGTGGATCACTTGAGGACAGGAGTTTGAGACCAGCCTGGCCAACATGGCAAAACCCTGTCTCTACTAAAAATACAAAAATTAGCCAGGCATGGTGGCATGTGCCTATAATCCCAGCTACTCGGGAGGCTGAGGCAGGAGAATCACTTGCATCTGGAAGGTGGAGGCTGCAGTGAGTCAAGATCGTGCCACTGCACTCCAGCCTGGGTAACAGAGTGTGACTCCATCCAGCCCCTGCCCCACCCCTGCCCCGCTGCCCCCCCAAAAAAAAAAAAAAAGAGACTGAGATGCAGAGGGTAAATGACATGCCTGAGGCCACCCAGCTCGTGAGTGGCAGGGCTGGGATTGGAATCCAGGCAGACTTCAGAGCCTGAGGGCTGACCTCATGCACCATCATGCACCTGAGCTTCCTCCTGCACTGTCTGGTGGGTTTTGCTCATTTGTTTACTTCCGTCTTGCTTTTGTCTCCCTCATTAGGCTGGAGACTCATAAGCCACTCTTTATCATTCTCCTAGAGCCCTTCTCCATGGATCCGCAGGAGTCCAGGGAGAAACAGGAGTAAGTCAAGCACTTAAGACAGTATCTGTCTGTGAATGTGTGCTCTATAACGCTCGCTATAACTAGCAGTAGTGGTAATGCTGGTAGTAGCAGTAATCTTAGTAATTGTATTATTATTAGTCATAGTGGTAGTGGTTAATTAGTAGTAATATCATCAGTAGTAGTATTAATAACTGTAGTAGTAGTAGTATTACTGACCCAGATATCACTTGAGAATCACATTTTAGGAAATGTCATGCTACCTCAATAAAGAGAGCCTGCTCTGAGTGTCAAACATGCCATCTAAATGTTGTTTATGGCCATTATAATGAGGAGGAGACACCATTTAATGAGCACTTTTTATGTGCCTAGCATTTAGCTAAGTGCTTTACTGTATTATCTCATTTAACCGTAGAAGCCATACTACTATCTTCACCATTTTACTGATGAGGAAACTGAGGCCCAGGAAGATGAGTTGACATGGTCATACTCCTAGAAGGTAGATGAGATAACACCTCTGGGATGACCCAAGAGGCTTATGGCACCCTCCTCCCCTTGGTCACCATCAGAAGCCCCAGGTGAAATGGTGGCATGCACCTATAGTCCCAGCTACTTGGGAGGCTGAGGTGGGAGGATCACTTGCACCCAGGAGTTCAAGGCTGCAGTGAACCATGATTGCACCACTGCATTCCAGCCTGGGTGACAGAGTGAGCCAGTCTCTTAAAGAGAAAAAAAGCCCCAGGTGTGCGTTTCCAACAAAGTGGCTGGAACCCAGAGCACTGACACGTTCGCTGGCTCCAGCTCTTTGAAATTCTGTCTAGCCTGATACGGAACAGGGAAGCCAAGAGCTGGGCCAGACACACATTTATCGTCTACCAGGATCTCACCTGGACAAGAGCTTCAACCTCTGAGCAGGTCCTGCTAGCCCTAGCAAAAAGAGCTCTATGTGAGTTGGAGAACAAGATTAGTATAACATCAGCACCCTGGTCTCGTCTCTCCTGAACCTGTCTGGGGGTGCAGAACTACATATCAGACTTCTCCAGGGCAGACCTTTATAGGAGCATCAAGACAAGCAGCATGGGAGGGGCTTCCTGGACCCTCTGCTGCCCTTATTCTTAGAAGGGTTCAGGCCCCAAGAAGGGAAGTGTGGGAAGAAGGACAAATAAAACCCAGCCAATCACAAATAGCTGCACCAATGGGGGCAGGACCTTCTCAGCCACAAGCTCAGCCCTGTGTGTCTTGGCCAACAAGGTCCGCCCACTTCTGTGCTCCATCCTGCACAACAGTGCCCGTGTTCCCTTGCTCTGCTCCTCCCCATCGCCGGTCTCTCTGGGGTGCCTTGCTGCCTCTAGCCACTTGGACTCTGTATATGCTGCTCCCCTGCCTGATACAAACCATCGTGCTGATAATCATAAGAACAGATACTCAGTGTGTCCTAGGCCCTGTTCTAAAAGTATGTAGTGAGCAGGTGCAGTGGCTCATGGCTATAATCCCAGCACTTTGGGAGGCCAAGGCAGGAGGGTCCCTTGAGCCCAGGATTTTGAGACCAACCTGGGCAACATGGTGGGACCCCATTTCTACAAAAATTTTTTAAAAGTTAGCCAGGTGTGGTGGGGCACATCTGTGGTCCCAGCTACTGGGGGGGCTGAGGTGGGAGGATTGCATGAGCCCAGGATGTCAAAGAGGCAGTGAGCTGAGATTGTGCCACTGCACTCCAGCCTGGGAGACAGAGCAAGACCCTGTTTCCAAGAAAACCCCCCAAATATGTTAACTCATTGGGTCCGCATACCTTACAGATGATTAAGAGCCTTGAAGAGGTTAAATGACTGGTTGAAGGTTATAAAAAGTGGCAAGGTAGATCTCAAATGCACGCCTTTGAATAGCAGGGCCCTCCTCAGATGGGGCTATTCTGGCTGGCTACGAAGTCATGACACCAGAGGTTTCTAGGCCCGACCCCCAATCAGAACTCTGGGAAGGGTTCCACACTCCTCCTGTTTTCATGTCCTGGATACCAGCAGGCTCCAAGCCTTCTGAGTGTGCCACCCTCCACAGAGGCGGAGACGTGCTGTGCAGGGCTGGGGAGAACGAGGCAAGAGGCCAGGATCTGAGGCTTAGCAAGCGGACCGCTCTGTGGACCAGTGGCCCTCTGCCATTCCCACTCTCTCTGCCTGGCCACTCCTCAAGGGTCTGGCTTCTTTGCTGCTGCTCACAGTAGATGCAGTCTGGAAGGGTGCCTGGGGGACCCCAAACCCTCCAGCAGCCCAGGTTCTGATGTGGAGAAATGGTCACCTCCTGTCGACCTCAGGCCCTCTGCACCTCTGACTGCATGTCTCCCTCTGTCTCCTCTACTTGATGACGCTGCCTTCCAGCAATTTGCTGGCAAGCGGGCGGCCCTCTTGCCTTCCTACGTGTCTGCGTAGTCTTTATCCTTACTGCCCCAGACCTCTCATTCCCCAGAAGGGTGATGGCTGAGGAGGTATATCCTCTGCCAAAGATTCTGTTCCAGCTAGCCCATCCCTCTGCCCCCAGGCACAACCAGCAAGGGCCACATCTAACCAGATGGTTGTCCTTTCTCCTCCAGACCTCAGAGGAAGGAGGCTCCCGATCTCCCTGGGCAACCTGGATCCCTGACAAGAGGCTCTTTCACTTTCTAAGCTTGATCTCCGGTGATGACACACCCTGCAGGGCAGCAGCTGTGACTAATTCTGTGTTTTAGACTCTGCCTTGTGCCTGGCTGGTGCCTGGGATGCAAAGCTGCCAGTGAGAAAGGCACCCTGGAAGGGTGCAGGGAGGCTCCAGCTGCAGAGCTTTCCCAGGATAGTGAGGGGGTGGGGCTGGAATGGCCCCAGAGAAGGTGGCCCCAAAGGCCAGGGCCCACCCAGCATGCCTCAGTGCTGTAGGATCAGGTCTCAGCAGCCAGCTGGGAAAGCCACAGCCTGGCACAGGGAAAGGCAAAGGCCTTGAGGTGAGAGAGACCTCAGGTTTGAATCCTGGCCTCGCCACTTATCAGCCAGGTACCCCGCGGCCTCCTGTACTCACTTGTGAAACGGAGGTAATGATAGCACCAAACTTGCTGAAGTTCTTTGGGCCTAGAAGTAGGTAGAAATGGGCTTTAAAAGAAGGGCGTATGTTATCTGACTTTGTCCTACCGGATAGAATTACTTAGCCCCATTTTACAGGTGAGGAGCCTAAGGCATGGAAGGGCCCTCTGAGCCCAGGCCTCTGCCCCAAAGCCTGTACTGTTTCTTGATGCACCAGGCTCACTGCAGGAGTAGATGAAAGGAGGTTAGAGGCTTCTCATTCCCTGCAAGGCTGCCCGCTCACCACTCTGAGTTCCTGCTGCTTCTGCCCCTCCCTCCTCCCACTGTCTCTTCTCCCAAACCAGAGCAGAGAGCTCTGGGGAGAAGGCCCCTTACGGAAAGATGTGAAGTCCCCACCAAACACTGCAGAAGCAGCAGGTGGCTTAGCAGGGAATGCCACAGTGAGCTCCACACAAAAGAGATGAACACACGTCCCTTCCCTTTGTCGCCATGGATGTGGTCACACATAGCCCCTAATTGAAGGAATCAGGGTACCTTTCTTTAAAGCAGAAATATGAGGACAGACTTGAGTGGTTCCATCAATGATGTCATGCTGCCAAACCCATATCACCAAACTGAGCTCCCTCTCCCATGTGTGCAAGGCAGTAGAGGAGGTCACTTAATCCCAAACAAACCCAGAGAGCCACCAATCCCCAAACAGACAGTCTCTACAGCCAGACAACCACGGTCACATTGAAATCAGGGGCTCCGTCCAATTCTGGCTGGGTGAACTCAGTCCGCCATGCTTCCAGGTGGGACAGAGGACGGGGCTTCAGGAGGATGAAGTGGAGCAAGAGACAGACGTCGCACATCCCCAAACTCACAAAAGCAAAGCTCTGCCACTCTGGAACCCTAGCAAACTCCAGCTACTATTTGCATCAGGAGAGGTTTTCCCCAGAGCTCTGGTGAGGGTATCAGGGTGCTGGGGCCTTGATGGGACATTGGCCCAGCCCAGCCTGCAGTAATGCTGTAAGCTCAGCGCTCCCAGGAAGGATCCCCACAGCCTCCAGGGCCTTCCCTGTCAGTGAGCCAGAGGGCAGCAGATCTGCTCAGCGACAGGAGCCAGGCCACCAGGGCGCCGTCGGGCTGTTGGCTCCCTCAGGTATTTTTAGGGTTGTCCTCCTTTCTGTGTCATAACTTAAAAATTTGGTTTTTTTTTTTTTTTCCTAATGGGGGTTCCAATTCCCCATGTGTCTGATATTCATTTGAAATGATTCATGGAAAAATATCTTTGCTACCAAATTATTTGTGCTACAGATAGTGCGGTTTTTAAATAAATGGCTACGTAAACACATGCACGTGTGTCTACTACCATGCAAGCTCAGCTATTATAACCACATAGGGCTGTGCAACTCAGATCATGAAGAAACCCTGATGCTGTGTATTAGAGTACAGGGGGCTGGGAACCCTCCTGGGGGAAAGCCACAGGACATGACAAAGATGCCCGGCGGGGGGGGGGAGTGGGGGCGGGAGAAAGTGCCAGCAGAGGAATGACTGCCCCTGGGCCTATAGCCATGACAGCCTGAGGGCCCAGCAGCCAGGGCAACAGGCCTGAAGAAGGCGCCTGTCCTCCCAGTCACCTTTGTGTGAATGACCCGGCCTCAGCCCAGCACCTTACCAAACAGCAAGCAAGCCTCCTGCCTCTTCCTCCCAGATATCTTCCCTGCTCTTTTTCCTTCCCAGCTGACTCCTTCAACCACAACACTTTTCCACAAAGCAGGAACAGCTGGGGCTTAGGGCCTATGCTTTGGCCCCAGCTCCCGCCAAAGGTGTCTTTCAGGATGCCCAGGGCTCCACCTGCAGCCTTCTTGCTGTGTCAGGCCCAGGGTGGCCCTCCTCAGACTTGCATTTGCCCTCCAACTCCCAGAGAAGTAAAACAATGATGACATAAGGATACTAGTACTGATAACAGCAATGGTACCATTTACTGGGACCCTACTATGCGTGTACTGGGCCACTGCTGTTTTATATTCCTCTTAGTGACAGGAGGTACAGTGTAGTGGTTATGAGCCTGTGTCGTGGGGCCAGTTAGTCTCTCCAAGCCTCCACTTACTCATCTGTAAATGGGGCTCTGAAGAACACCTCTTTCTTGGTAGTGTGTGAATTAACTGAGCATCCGCCTGCAAACTGCTCAGCACAGTGCCTAGCACATAGTAAACACTCAGTAAATCCACCTTAGTGCCTTTGTTTTCTGGGGCACTGAGGAAGCAGACCTGGCTGTGGAGCCAGCTGTGGATCACAGAGCTGATGAGACTCAATGCCCCCCAAAGACAGCGGACAGCCAGGCAAGGGGACTGCAGAGCCCCTGGGACTTCCAATATTGAGGTCTCAGATCGTCTCCCTCCAGGTGGGGCACTGAGGCCCGTGGGCTCTGCCTTTCCTGGGCTTCACTGAGTGGTGAAATGTGTGTGGATGGGGCTTCCTAAACTGAGTGCAAGCCTTTCCCACTTCCTGGACCCTCAAACCCACAACTCTTGAGCCCATGGACAGACCTTACCTTAAGTGGCCAAGCAGTGGCCTCCATGTGAGGCTCATGCCAGCATATACAATGTTTGGTACGAGTTATAAAAAAAATATTATATTTTCCAGGTAGAAAATTTCAAAAGGCAGCCCTCAGAGAAAACCCATTAGAAAAGGTATCCTAAGACCGGGCGCGGTGGCTCACGCCTGTAATCCCAGCACTTTGGGAGGCCAAGGCGCGTGGATCACGAGATCAGGAGATCGAGACCATCCTTGCTAACACAGTGCAACCCCGTCTCTACTAAAAATACAAAAAAATTAGCCAGGCGTGGTGGCGGGCACCTGTAGTCCCAGCTACTCGGGAGGCTGAGGCAGGAGAATGGCGTGAACCTTGGAGGTGGAGCTTGCAGTGAGCCAAGATTGTGCCATTGCACTCCAGCCTGGGCAATAGAGCAAGACTCCGTCTAAAAAAAAAAGAAAAGGTATCCTGTCCTCAGGCTGACATGGCCCCACGTGCATCCCCTACTCATGCCCCTCATTGGGTTCTGTTGTGCAGTATACAACCTGCACATCTGTTCTTTGCAGCCTTGCTCCCAGCTAGGAAAGTGTTGGGACCCTCTAGTGAAAGTACCTGACTAGAAGCCCACAGGCTTGGGTCCAGGGGCTATTCAACCACTAACCTGCTGGAGATCAGAGAGCTGCCAGGGCCAGGATAGTCTCCTGTGTTAAATGAATGGATGGGGCAAAACACACCCAGGACCCCTCATAACAATGACGGCAGCAATGATCATTTGATCACTTTTGAATGGGATAAACCCATGAAAAGAGGTGACAGCTACCACTGGCCAAGGGCCAGTTCCCACCTAGCCCCCATCCTACATGCTTTTACTCAGAGCACTAACCTTTCTAGGTGGGTGTGACTATCTCATTTTATAACAAGGCAGCTGAATTTCAGAGAGCCCAGTGAGCTCATGCCAGACTGGGCACAGAGGCAGAAGCACACGTTCTGAGCCTCAGTGGCCCCATGCTGCATCAGCTCAGAGGAAAAAAAAATCCCACTGCACACCAGTGCAGGCCTTCATCCATCGGAATTCCTGGGCCACCTCCTCACAGGCATAGCACAGTTCCAGGGCCCCTTCCTCGCCCTGTTGGTCAGTCGTCAGTCAGTGTCAGTCAGTCGGTCAATGCACGTTTGGGAGCACGTCCCACCAGGTGCTCAGCCCAAGGAAGATCCCTACCGTTCATTGTTCAAGGTCATTCTCGGGGGGTCCAGGTTGGGGTTCTCCATGGACTCCATCTGTGGACACCGCAGAAAGTAGTAGAGCGTGTGGAGGGCGTCGGGGGACCAAGTGATGGGCTGTGGCGGCTGGCGGGCCTGGCGGGCAGGGCTGGCACCCGGGCACAGGGGGTGACGCCCCTGCATGTGGTGCATGGCACGGGAGACCAAGTCACCTGGTGGGGGGCGGGGAGGGCAGAGGGGAGGAAGAGAAAAAAAGAAGACAAAGTCTGAGTTCACAGCCTGCATTCTTCCAAGGATGTTCCTGGCTGAAGCTCCCTTGCCTTAGTGCATAATTACTGTTTGCCCTGCAGCCAACAGGCGGAGGTGGAAACTGTCACCTAGATGCACAATAGCAATTTCGTTTCCCTTTCATTTCACTCTTGCTGAATTAAATACTTGGCAGGGCCTGTCTCCTCCAGAACTTAGGGTAATTTGGTTTCTTTTTTGACATCCCCACTCTCTCCACCACCCTCATGGGCCTCTCCCCAGATCTTTGACCAAGGGAATCTCTCTGGGTCTCTCTTCCCAGCCTCTACCAGCCAGGGCCAGGCTCTGTGGCAATTCTCCCCTGCACTGTCTTGTACAAAACCCAAAGTATTTCAGCGGAGAAGGTCCCTCTGTCTCAGCACCAATTACAACCACCAACACCACCATCATCACCTGTTGAGGACTCACTATGTACAAAGTATGCAATTCCCCAGAAATATGATTTAATTTGATCCTTACAGTGCTAGGGGGTATTATTCCCATTTTACAGATGAAGAACTTGAGGCTTATGGCTGGGCACAGTGGCTCACGCTGTAATCCCAAGCCCTTGGGGAGGCCGAGGCAGGTGGATCACTTTAGGCCAGGAGTTTGAGACCAGCCTGGCCAACATGGTGAAACCCTGTCTCTACTTAAAATACAAAAAATAGTCAGGGATAGTGGCAGGCGCCTGTAGTCCCAGCTACTCGGGACGCTGAGGCAGGAGAATCGCTTTAACCTGGGAGGCGGAGGTGGCAGTGAGCAGAGATCGTGCCACCACACTCCAGTCTGGGTGACTGGTGACAGTGAGACTTTGTCTCAAAAAAACAAACAAACAACAACAA
This sequence comes from Homo sapiens, assembly GCF_000001405.40. Lineage (NCBI taxonomy): Eukaryota > Metazoa > Chordata > Mammalia > Primates > Hominidae > Homo > Homo sapiens. The sequence goes on from NC_000011.10 coordinate 34,198,454, forward strand.
CAAAAAAAAACAAAAACTTGAGGCTTATCTGATAAACATTTCCTGACCCCATATATTCATTCTCCTGGCCACAGGGACACCTCAGAGCCCACAGGTTGAGTTAACCAGCCATGGCTGTGTGGCTAGAAAATGGTAGTCTAGACTTGAATTCATGTCTGTTCGACTCCAAAGTCCATGGACTTCACTGTGAGCTGGGCTGCAGCCTGCCCTGCTGGAGTCTGTGGGATCCTTAGGTCCCCATATCCTGTGATGTGTTTCTACTTAAGTATTTTCAATATCTCACCAGCCCCAGACAGGAAACGGCTCATCATTGTGTGAGGCCACAATGCTGAGAAAGGATGGGCTGAAGGAGCCCTGGCACCTGCAGGCACCTCCGCTCTAAGAAAAGCAGCTCCTTCGGGGTCAGCTTCAGCCTCACCCCTGGCCATTCCTTAGAGAGAGCCCTTCAACAGGCGGGCACGGCTAACCTTAAGGTGGAAGAAATGAACAGGTTTTAATTTGGCCGGTGAAGTGCCATGAAATGCATGGCAGAACCAGTTCATTCATTTACTCAATTAACCTTCATGCTGCTTCTGGGAATCTGGTGTTCTGTTCCGTTGTGTCCCAGAGCCCTGCACAGGGTCTGTTACATACTAGGTTCTCAGCAGATATTTGGAGAATGAAGAATTCACCTTACACATTCATTTCTTTTTAAAATACAACTTCTGCTGAGGCTTGATTTGAGCTCATTAGCTGCTAAATTCTCCCATGACAGCCACGGTGATGGTGTTTGGCTTCCAGGCAGGGACAAATGACACCCCTGGAGTTTGAGATCCCCACCAGGAAAGTCCTCCTTGTCCCTTTCCACCACCACCCCTGGTTCCTCACTCCTCCCTACTCCTGACTACTCATCCATACCGTTGGAGTTCAGCTGCCTGGGTGCTCCTGACAAACCCTAGGGCCAAGAGGGCTGAGGGCAGTGAGTTACTGACACCTGGTTTCCATCCCTGTGACCCTGATTTCATTGGTCTGTGGCTGGACCTGGGCATCTCTAGTTTGTAGAAGTTCCCTCAGTGATTCTAATGTCCACTCAGGTTTGAAAATCACCAGGTGAACTGATAGATTGATTCAAGTCAGACACAGTTGGCCTCAAATCAGGGCCTGTTACTGTTAATTCCAGCCCATATTCCCTTAGGCCTGAGAACTCAGGGAGGCTCCCCCGGAGGTCAGCTTAAGCCCCACCCCTGGCGATTCCTTACAGAGAAAGAGAAATCCCTTACGTAGTTATCAGAGCCTCAGTTTTCTCATCTGTAAAATGGGAACAATAGTATCTACCCTACTGATTTTGAGGGCTCAAAGAAACAATAAATGTAAAGCACTTAACATCCTGCTTGGCACAGAGTAAGTATTTGGTAGGGCTGAACATAGCACTGTTATAATTAATGTCCTATTATTATTATTCCTCTATCCTACGGGCCGCCTCCTGTGGACTCTTCCTTCCAGGACTACTGCCTGCCGTCAAACTCTGCCCCACATTTCCCAGGACAGGAGGAGTCTGCACCCTGAAATGCCAGATCCCAACCCTGCCCTTGGGCTCCATGGGTGGTAGAAACTGGCCTCACAACCACCAGCCAACCCGCCTCACAGCAGCCAGTTGTACAGCTAAGTTGGCTGCTAATAAGTTGAAACCTGGCTCCCGTTTCTCCAGGTCTAAATGTCATAACTTTTGGCAGAACCACAGGACCACAAGGAGGAGAAATCAAAGAGTCTGTGATAGCATCAAAGAGAAACCTTGTTGAAATAACATTTCAAAGGCTCAACAAGGTAGAAGTCATTATCTTTAATTATTTTTATTGTTGTTTTATTGTTATTGGTGGAGAACCCTTTGGCAGCACACTTCCTGCTTCATGTAGACAAGAAAATCAAGAAAGAAATGGAATCTCCCATCCAAACAGAAGCAGATAACCCAAAAGTTCAGAAAAACCACGAAGGCAGCTGGAGATGGAGGTCCCCGGCTTCTTCGATCCAAGCCCTGCTATGGTCAGTTTCTCTCAGACCAGAAAGACAAATGGCTGCAGAGAACTCTGACTGTGACGTCTAAAAACTTACACTGCGTGGCAACCCACTTATGGCAAAGAAAGCGGCTTGCTTGGAACCTTCTCCTAGGGTGATTTTTGCTCCCTGCCACTTTGTATTTTCTAGGCTTCATGACAGACATGAAAAGATAGACAAAATTTCCTTTAACTTTTTCAGCCACCCTGTGAAGGAGGTCTTTCTACTCTACAGACAAGGAAGCAAGCTTGCAAGAGTTAAATGACCCGTCCCAGTTCTGCAACTAGTAAGTCAATCAGCCAGGACTTGAACTGGGGTCCCTGCTTCCCAAACGCATGCTCTTGACCATCACATGGCTGCTACTAAAAGTGTGGTCTGTGAACCGGGACAGGTCCACAAACTTACTGGTTTGCAGTAAGTTAATTTCAGAAGTGAAGAGTGAATTTTTAAAAACTTACATAGCAATTGACAGTAATTTTATATCTAGCTAATAATAATTTTAAAAATCGGGCTTGCATTTCACATGTCTTATTTCCTTTTTCTAGACATTTATTTTGATTTTTCATTATAAAGGTTTCATTCTGCAGCAGACTGAGGGGAATAAAATCTCTGGACCTTCACCATGGATAGTTTGAGAAGGCCTGATGCAGGCTAGGCTGGGCTCTCAGTTTAAGCATGGCAGGGACTCAGAGCTTCTTCTGAAACTTCAATTGATCCTACACTCAATGAAACCTTAGTCTGAAGCCCAGAAACACCCCCCAGGCAAGGAAAAACAAGTCCTCCCCCCTTGTTAACCATGAAAGACTTGATTAGAGGTGCTAGGTTTCACTCTGGTCCTTCCACCTCTCATTATGAGCCATCAAATAAAAACAGCAGGAGAGAGTCTGGAATTCAACACCGTCTTCAAAATAAGGCCTAGAACATCTGGCTCCCTTCAAAAAGAAGTGTTTTGTTTTATTTTGTATTCTCTCCCTTTAAAATTTTTGCGGGTAGAGAGGGACAAAGAAAAAGCACAAGTCCCAAAACTCCGTGTGAAGCTGGATCTCATACAAGAGTGAAACTTCTCACCCTATCTGGCAGCCTGATGTTGGAGAGGCTCAGGGAGTTAATGCATGTAAACTCAGGGTACACTCTGAGGTCCAAGGGGTTCAGTGCCAAGTATCACTAGCCTCATTAAGTTCTTTAGTCTCAGGGAGAAAAACTGCAATATCTGCCTCCACCTCTGTCTCCTCCCTCCTCCACAGCAGGTTAGCAAAAGCCCTGGTTTCAAAGGGAGGAACAGGGCAACTTGGCACATGACACAGCCTGTTCTCTGGTCTGTGAAAAGATGCTGTAAGGAGGCTTCTTCCTTTGGCCCTGAGGAGTGGCTGGGCCAGGATGTGGACAAATCCTAGGCGAGTTTTAGGAGAAAAGATTTGGTGGGATAGACCTCATTCCTCCTAACACATGAACATGCATACTCACAGGCATGCATGTGTGCAGACACACACACACACGTGTGCACGCTGCACCTCAGGTACTGTTCTCTGTACCAGGTACTGTTCTAAGCAATGAGGATACAGCCGTGGACAAAGGAGATAAAGTTTCCAATCTCAGGAAGCTGACTCTTCTAGTCAGAGGAGAGAGATGATAAACTATTCGTAAGTAAATATATAATACATGTCAAGTGGTGATCAGTGCTTTAATAAAATCAAAGCCACAAGAGGGAAGACAGTGGAATGAGAGTGTGGTACTCATGGAAGGCCTGAATGAGAAGGTGCCATTTGGGCAGAGGCTTGAAAATGTGAAGGACCAATGTACTTGAGGATCAAGGGGAAAGTGTTGCAGGCAGAGGGAAAGCCAGTGTGAAGGCTCTGGAGTGGGAGGGTCCTTAGCCAGGAGGCCAGGCAGCTGGAGTGCAGTCCACAGAGAAGAGGATGAAGTGATGAAGTCAGATCATATATGGATCCTGGGCCAGAGTGAGGATTTTGGATTTTACCGAGTGAGCCGGGAAGCCATTGTCGGGGGATAGAGGGGATAGATATCGAGCAGATGAGTGACACAACCCAATTTAAGCTTTAAATGGGCAGCTTGGGGCTAGGTGCAGTGGCTCATGCCTATAATCCTAGCACTTCGGGAGGCCAAAGTGGGGAATCACTTGAGGTGAGGAGTTCGAGACCAGCCTGGCCAACATGGTGAAACCCCGTCTCTACTAAAAATACAAAAATTAGCTAGGTGTGGTAGTGCACACCTATAGTCCCAGCTACTAGGGAGGTAAAGGCAGGAGAATCTCTTGAATCTGGAGGCGGAGGTTGCAGTGAGCCAAGTTTGTACCACCACACTCCAGCCTGGGTGACAGAGCGAGACTCCATCTCAAAAACAAAACAAAACAAAACAAATGGTCAGCTTGGGCTCAGTTGGTAGCAGTGGAGTTGGTGAAAGGGGCAGACTAAAACTCAGGATTGTTGTAAGTGGTAGAGCCAACAGGTCTTGGCCCCTTGGCTAGCGGTAATGGCAGAATGATGTCAAGCCCTTACCTAGGGGAGGCCTCTAAATGCTCCTCCCTTAGGCTGGGCTGGGGTTGTAATGGGCATGAGGCCACCATGAGAAGAGGCAAAGGATCAGCCCCGATCTTGATCTCAGCTGCCCCAAGGAGCTGGTGGCTGGGCTGCTAGTCTTATCCAGGGGGCCAACAGCCCTAGACACGTCCAGAGTCAAGCCCCCAGCTCTGATCCGTGTGACTTGGAGAAAATCACTTTTCTTCTCTAAGCCTCAGTTCTCTCATCAGGACATAACTTGCTGCATTGTTCTGAGGAACAAATGAGATAAAAAGTGAATATGGTGCTTCACAATGGTGTCTTGCACACAGAAGGCGCTCACTTAATGTTCAAGTGTAAAGTAAAACCAAGGTGCTCTCCAGTGGACCAGGGGCTGTGTCCCTTACTGTCTGCAGGGCACAAGAACTCACCAAAGCATGACTGTGCGAGGGCCCAAGACAGCCCATTGTCCAGGAGACACTTCTCAGGGACGGAGATGAAACCAGAACCCACTTCCTGTGGGGCCCCTCAGGGGACAGGGGACCCAGGCAACAACATCCTGGCCCTGCCTACTGTAATGTCACCAGGAGACAGGGAGTCAGAAATCCTGCTTTCTCTCCCAGCCCTATTGCAGCTCTGCTCTGTGACCTTGAACCAGGCACCTTCATTTCCTGTCTGTAGAGGGGGCAGAAGAATGCAGGGAAGGAGGAAGCCATGACCTGAAGAAACAGAGGCTTGCCGTTTATTGTTCAGGGGTCAGAAGACTTGAGGGAATCACAAACGGAGAAGGCCGGAGCAGAGGGAAACTCCAGGTGTGCCCATGCTGTGTGCTATGACCCCTGCTGTGTCACTGCCCTCCACTGGGTGATCTCAACAGAGCGAGGGGGAATGAAGGCAGCAGAGGATGTAGTCAGATTTCTCAAATCAAATGGGTAATGAGAGGGGGAGCTCAGGAGCTGGCATGGGATTTCATCTCTCCTAACACCCTGGAAGCAGCTGTCAATGGTAAAGAGCCACATCAAGTTCCAAGTGTGTGCCACAGAGCCCTGAGTCCTGGGAGATGCCACCTGGCCACACCTGCCTTCAGCCAGAGGGGCTCTATTGTTATCTTCCTTTTACTATATTGAGGCTTTGGGTGTGCTTTCTTTCGAGAAAGAGCACCAGTTGTGAATTCAGAGCCTGTGGGGCCAGGCAGGTGAAATTAATGAAACAGCCTCCCCAGGATGAAACCCAGGTCTGTGGCAAAGTGGGGAACACATGCCACCCACTTTGCTGCTACTTAGCTCCCGTGGGTCACTGCTGTGCAGGAATGGGGTACCATGTTGCTAGATCATTTGTTTTTTCAAGAGAAACCAGAAATCCAGATTTGTGTATTTGCAACCTCTGGTCTAGAAAGATCTAGCTTTCAGGGAAGGCAAGGCACTTGGAGGAGGAGGAGGCCAGAGCACTTGGAGGAGGAGGAGGCGAGCTCTCCCTGCCTTCCCCCAGCCCTGAGACCTCGCCGTTGCTCTACCATCCAGCTAGACACTGAGGCCACACTTACTCAGCTCCGAGATGCTGCCCACGCAGGTGGCCAGGAGGGACTGCTCCAGGGTTCGGAGCTCCAGCTGGGCATAGGCATCGGCTCGCTCGTCATGGCCCAGGGACCCGCCGTTGTAGGGGCTGAAGTATGCGGGGAGGGAGAGGACACCTATGGGGAAAGAAGGCAGACAGGTCACACTTAGGAAGGAGTGGAAGTTCAGTGGGCCCCAGCCTGCTGCAGGCAGGGCTCAGCCCTGCTCCCCTGCTCTTGACAGAGAGAGGTTCAGGAGGTAAAATCTCTCTGAGCCTTGAGGACTTGAGAACTTTGACTGTGGACGGTGCTATAGGGGCCAGAATGAGAAGTAGCTCACTCGTAGCTGTGGTTTTAAGCACGTGGAGACCATCGTTTCTTGGAGGTACTCAAGAAACTGGCCTTCTTGGGCTCCTGGATCATAGAAGCATTCATTCACTCACTTGCTGAATATTTACAGAGTGCCTGACTCAGCCCAGGCTCCTGGATCATACAAGCATTCATTCACTCGCTCGTTGAATATTTACAGAGTGCCTGACTCAGCCCAGGTATTGTGCTATACTTAGGGTTCTGGGGTGACAAAGAGACCTGACTTTGTTTTCATGCAGCTCAGGGATGGCTGAGTCAGATGTAAATGCCCATCCTGACTTCCTGAAGGGCAGTGCCGCCCTGAGTCCTCTCCTTTCCCCATGCTGGGAGCAACCATTCAAAAGGGATGCTGCCTTCTCCACTTCAAGAAGGGGACGTGTCCTAGCCACGGGCCAAGTCCAATTAATGTTTTTCATTAACACTTCAACAGCAGTGGAGCAGAACTGTCAGAATCAATCCCAGAGGGTGACAGCCTGTAAATTTCTCCAACTCACTATGTGGCTTCTTAGAAAGCACCAGAAAAGTGAAATCAGACTGGTTTAAAATTACATGTTGGCTCTTAAGAGCATGTGGCCACAGAGATTCTAGTTGCAGTCAGAATCTAGATAGGGATTCCCAACTTTTGGTAACCACTGTTTCTTTGATGGACAGATTTTCTTTTTCCAACACTCACCCACAAACTTTTTTTTTTTCTTTTTTAAAGAAAAATACCCACAGGAATTTAATCACTTTGGAGAAAATCTCTGAAAATTCCTAGAGATAACTGGAGAGCACCGGGATGTGGCCAAGTCTGGGTTAGAAGTCCCTAAACACGTGTGATGTAACAAGGACAACAGCAGCAACAGGTACAGCAGACAGGGCTTTGGAGCAGAATGTTGGGGTTCGTAATTCTGGCTGTCACGTAACCAGTGGTGTGATCTTGGTCAGGTTACTTAGACTCTACATCAGTTCATCATCTGTTAACTAGAGATAACTAGAGTACCTAGCTCACAGGGCTGCTGTGAGGATTAACTGAGTAACTGGGGGTCAATGCTTGGACCAATGCCTGGCTCAGAGTACATGCTCTACCAAGTGCTGTTGCTATTATTTTTACTTTGTGCTGGGAACATAGGCTTCATTTACGTTATCTCATTTATTCTTCCAACAACCCTATAAGGGCCAGGCACAGTGGATCACACATGTAATCCCAGCACTTTGGGAGGCTGAGGTGGGTAAATCACTTGAGGTCAGGGGTTTGAGACCAGCCTGGCCAACACGGAGAAACCCCATCTCTATTAAAAATACAAAAATTAGCCAGGTGTGGTGGCTAGTTTTTTCATTTTAATACAAAATTAACCTGTAATCCCAGCTACTCGGGAGGCTGAGGCAGGAGCATCGCTTGAACCCGGGAGGCAGAGTTTGCAGTGAGCTGAGATCACGCCACTGTACTCCAGCCTGGCAACAGAGACTGTGTCTCAAAAAACAAAACAAAACAAAACAAAAAAACCCTGTGTGATGGGTACTACTGACTTCCATTTGAGATACTGGGCTACTGCCATTCAGAGACTTTGAGTAACTTGCTCAGGTAAGTGGAAGAGCTAGGATTCAAATCTGGGATGGACTGGTTCCACAATGCATATACTTAACTCCTCTGTGAGCTCAGAGTCCAGTGAACACATCACCAAAGCTCACTCATGGCTGTCCTTATGTGTGGCTGGTGCATATGACAATATGGCTGTATTATTACTGCCCATTTCACTCATGGACACCCTGTGCTGAACCCCATGTGTTTTTCTTTGTTGAGGAAATGCACACAGAGGTCTTCCTCCAGCCCAGGGCCTCAGTGTGTTCTCTGACCGTTCTGCAGGTTCAGCTGATGGTCAGTCCTGCCCTCCTAGCTTGACCTTCCCCTGACCCAGGCCTCCCCGCTCTCCTCCTGGCTGATGTGGTGAAGGCCCCCTCTCCATCTCCCTTTGCCTCTCCTGGATGGCAGCGACCCCTCTCATCACATCCAGTGCTGACTTAGCAAAGCACTGCTTCAAAGCACTTCCTTCAAGCTTTGTTTCTGTTGGAGGAGGAGGAAGAGTTCATGATTGGGCTCTCCCCCGCAGCCCCCTGCCAGGGCCCCAGTCCCTAAAGCAGAAACTCTCCCTGACAGCTGAGTAACCAAACACATTGGGAAGAGCTGGCCGTAAGCTTTAAAACAAGTAAAACAAAAGGGAAAACCACCCCAACTACAGGCTGAAACCCACGACAGGCCAAACAGCTGGGAGAGCCCAGTGCAGGCCTGACTCCTCCTCCTTTCTCCATTATTAATCTACAGAAACAACACTGGAGACATGTGGATCAAATTTACAGAGCTTAGGGTAAGGGAATAGGAAATTCAGCTGATTTGTCAAAGGATTCCCAGAGAGAAATATTATGTCAATGGAGCTAGTAACAGGAGCTGTCAGCTCCATTAATAATAGTTCCCATTTTCTCAGTCATCACCCACCCAAAGAGGCCTTCACTTAATACCGTGGCAAAAGTAATTAGGAACCTATTATTAATAATAGTAATTGATAGCATCACAACTTTTGCCTAGTACCTTTTGCTTTTAAATGACTTTTTACATCTAGTAATTTGTTCTTCCAGCAAGGGAGACAGGACAGTCATGATCAGTAACAACCACAGCTGACTTTTATTGAAGGCTTACTATGTGCCAGGCACTTACATGCGTTATCTAACACCCCAGAACTGCAGGAGGTACTATTCCCACCCATCTTACAGCTGAGAAAACTGAGGCCTGAAAAGTTTAGTGGCTTGCCTAAGGTCACTGAGGGTCAGAAACGGAACAGGGACTGGAGTTTCAATTTCTTCTCAAGCTGCTGAAATAAATGACATTCTAACTTTGCCCACCTTGTCCTTTCTCGAGCTAGGCAGCGCCTAGGATATTGGAGAGGAAAGAGGTTTTGTCTGGGCCTGAGGTTTAAGAGGAGGAAATTCAAAGTAAGGCCCAGAAGTAGGACTTTCCCTTTCATGGGTCTCCAGGCACCTCCTGCCAAGGGTTCCTGGAGGCCTCCCATGAAACTCTACAGACAAAAAGCTGTCTCTCTGACTCCCTCTGATCTTTGCAGAACACAGTTCCACAGCTTGTCTTCCAAGTCTGCTCTGTAAGAAAGTCTTCTCTACATCAATTCTAAATTCTCTCTCCCACATCAGCTCATTCCTCAGCAGTTCTCACCAGAGATGGAAAATATTTTCTTTACATTCTCTTAACACCTCGATGTGTTCCTTTCCCCACACAAATTCCCAGCTCTAGCATAACGGGCCCAGGGCAAGATCATTCTAGTGAAAAGGAGTTTAAAAAAGAAAAAAGGAAAGGACATATCTATTTTTTTCTATTTAGTAAAATCCTTAGAAAAAAATTCTTCCTTTCTGTCATGATGGAGAAGAAAGCATGCGGGAACATTTGCCTTTATTCCTTTATTAGAGGGAAGAGGGACAACCGCTTTGGGACCATGTAAAAGCCACGGAGGGAACCGCATGCACCACCCTGTACCCATGACTGTGAGTGAATCTCGGAGTGTGGAGCAGTGAGCATGATCGAGTGATCCTTTGCCTCCCTCTTCTAAAACAGCAGCATTTCTGCTCAGTGTTGTACTCGAATGTGCTGTGGACTGTGCTGAAGCCTCAACATTTCTCAATCTCTACACAGAACCCTAATCTTCCATTGCTCAACTTTTCTCTTTCTGCTTGCCCAACCCTTGAATCTCAGACTCATTACCTTGTTCCTCAAAGCCTCCACCTCCTCTTCCACCAGCCCCTCTGTGAGTACAGCACCGTGGCCACCCGGTTGCCCAAGGAGAGACCTGTGAGTCACCCTTATCAGTTCTCTCCCTTCTCATCCACCTCCCATCAACCACCAAGCCTTGCTGCTTTTACCACCAACATATCTCAAAAATCCTTCACTGCCACCACCCCAGTCAGGCTGCCATCTTCCCCTGCCCCCCTGGACCTGCAGCAGCCTCCTCACCCATCCCCTGCCTCCAGGCTTACCCCCTTCCCCTTACTCTGGTCACCTTGCTCCAGCTTTGTACTCTTCAATGACTCTCTGTTAGCCTCACAAAGAAGTCCAAACTCCTTTGCACATCTAACTATCCTTTAAGAATAGTTAGCATCCTGGCTGGCCGTGGTGGCTCAGGCCTGTAATTCCAGCACTTTGGGAGGCAGAGACGGGTGAATCACTTGAGGCCAGGAGTTTGAGACCTGCCTGGCCACCGTGGTGAAACACTATCTCTACTAAAAATACAAAAATTAGCCGGGCATGGTGGTGCACACCTGTAATCCCAGCTACTCAGGAGGCTGAGGTGAGGGAGAATTACTTGAACCTGGTGGAGGTTGCAGTGATGAGAACGTGCCACTGCACTCCAGCCTGGGCAACAGAGTGAGCCTCTGTCTCCAAAAAAAAACTTTTTTTTTCCCCCAGAAAAGAGAATAGATAACGTCCTTCTCTGCTTTTTGAAATTTAGGGAGGAGAGTAATTCTGCCAGTAAACTGGAAAATTTCCCAGCACCTCCCAAGATATCAGCAGAGTTAGGAACCCTGTGCACACCTGATCCTCGCTTCTCTAAGCTACTTTTCACTCTGCTCTGCTCTAGCCCAGAGGGGTGATGGTAGGGGTGGAGGGTAGGCGTGGGGGTGAGGATGGGGGTGAGGGGGAGGGGTAGGGGTGGGGGTGAGGGGTAGGGGTGGGGGTGAGGGAAAGGGTTGGGGGTGAGGGTGAGGGGTAGGGGTGAGGGGTAGGGGTGGGGGTGAGGGGTAGGGGTGGAGGTGAGAGGTTGGGGGGTCAGGGGTGGGGGTGGGGGTAGGGGTGGGGGTAGGGTGGGGGTGGAGGGTAGGGGTGGGGGTAGGGGTGGGGGTGGAGAGTAGAGGTGGGGGTGAGGATGGGGTGAGGGGTTGGGGTGGGGGTGGGGGTGAGGGATGGGGGTGAGGGGTAGTGGTAGGAGTAGGGTCAATGGTAGGGGTATGGGTGGAACTCTGGAGGACAGCAGCCTGCTTCTTTCCTAAGTGATTCTCCACCAGGGCCCAGAGAGGGTGCCACTGAGTTAGAAGGGAAACCCAGTTCTCAGAAGACTGGGAAGCCGCCTTCTTGCCAGTTGCCAACCGGGACGTGAGCTGAGTTTTAGCTTGCAGAGGCGCTGTCTCTTCCAAGCTGACGGAAGCTGGTGGACTGCACTTTGGGATGACAAGCCAGACTTCTAAAGGGTTTTTAGAAGCAGGGCTTAGGCCAAAGGCCAAATTGATGGGGATTTCATTCCCTTCTCTGTAAACCACGGGGGTGGAATCTATGGCTTCTCAAGTCCTCCCAGCACTGGGATTCTAGACTCTGACCCCTATGTGTGCGACAGCACTCAGGTGCACCCCTGAAATCCTTTTTATCCCTTCTCATTCCACCATTTAACTTGTGAATTGTCAACAGTGGGAACACAGAGACCTTGTTTTTACTATTTCCTATGGTTTAATTTCCTCCAGAGCTATAACACCACCACTTTCCCCCATATACACACACACAACTTTAAATGTAAAAAAGATGTCCTTTCTGTGTAAAACTGGATAGGTTTATAGTGAAGCTTTATCTGACCATTCATCAAAAAGCCACCAAGACTGTAACATAACTGTCCTCCAAACTCAGCAACCATTACGAGCGCTCTCCCCAGACTTGTAAATGTTCTTTCTGGGCAATGGGACAGTGAGTGTGGTACCATTTCTGCACCTGCCACCAACGGCCCCACTAGCCCACCAGCTACCCGGCTCAGGGAAGCTCATGGCCAAGGCAGCCAAGGCCACCGCCTGTCCCTAGTTTCTTTGAAAGGAAAACCAGAGGGCAGAGGATTACTCCTTTACTGCACTCGCAAGGAAACTTGGCAGGGCGTCTTCTGCCAGCCTTCTTAGGTGCGCGGGAAGCTTGGGTGGGGTGCAATCCATAAGCTTCTGAAAATAAAAATTATACTGCCCCACTGAACGGTTTCCAAATAGCCCAGATAAGCCAACCCCTTTTTAAAATTTTTTTATTTTTAAGTGTTTCCATTCTCTGATCTGGAATTTTATATATAGTACATTTAATGCCCAGTTGTTATATATTAGTCATGCCAGAACAAAGTGTAGAAAAGTTGAAGCATGAATAGTTTTCAGGGAGACCCAAATAGAGTGTAAGGACAGTCAATTCATTCTTTTTGTTTGTTTTGAGACGAGGTTTTATTCTGTCACCCAAGCTGGAGTGCAGTAATGGGATTACAGCTCACTACAGCTTCAACCTTCGGGGCTCAAGCAATCCTCCCATCTCTGCCTCCTGAGTAGCTGGGGTACAGGGGCACACTGCCGTGTCCAGCTAATTTTTGTATTTTTTGGAGAGATGGAGTTTTTGTCATCTTTTCCAGGCGGGTCTAGAACTCCTGGGCTCAAGCAATCTGCCCGCCTCAGCTTCCCAAATTTGCTGGGATTATAGGTGTGAGCCACCATGCCCAGCCAGGACAGTCAATTCTTTAAAAAAGCCCCCAAACCCTTCACTGAATAGTATTCCACATGACATTCTAAGTTCAGAGAGGCTGGGGGGATGGGTGTTGAGACAAGAGCAAGATGAGGGAAATAAGAGGAAAAACCTGAAGTGGAATGGAATATGCCCCAGGAGCTGTCAATCATCCATGTAAAGTGATTCATCAGGAATAATCAAGCCAGGCGTGGTGGCTCACACCTGTAATCCCAGCACTTTGGGAGGCCAAGGCAGGAGGATCACTTGAGATCAGGCATTCGAGACCAGCCTGTCCAACATGGTGAAAATACAAAAATTACTACAAAAATTAGTCAGGCATGGTGGTGCACACCTGTAATCCCAGCTACTCAGGAGGCTGAGGCAGGAGAATTGCTTGAAACTGGGAGGCAGAGGTTGCAGTGAGCCGAGATTGCACCACTGCACTCCAGCCTGGGCGACACAGCCTGGGTGACAGAGTGAGACCCTGTCTCAAAAAAAAAAAAAAAAAAAAAAGGATAATCAAAAAGTCATCTAATACTTGGGCAAAACCCATCTCAAGACGTGACCATGATACTGTGAGGCCCAAAAATTCAAATGGGGAGAAAATGCTGGGAGACAGGAGAGATAAGGGGAAGTTTGAGAAGCAGGTTTTATTTATTTATTGAGACAGGGCCTTACTCTGTCATTCAGGCTGGAGTGCAGTGGCGCAATCTCAGCTCACTGCAACCTCCTCCTCCCAGGTTCAAGCAATTCTCCTGCCTCAGCCTCCGGAGTAGCTGGGAGTACAGGCACCCACCACCATGCTCGGCTAATTTTTGTATTTTTAGTAGAGACGGGGTTTCGCCATGTTGGCCAGGCTAGCCTCGAACTCCTGACCTCAAGTGATCCACCTGCCTTGACCTCCCAAAGTGCTGGGATTACAGGCATGAGCCACTGCACCTGGCCAGAGAAGCAGGTTTTAACCATGGCTAATAATAAATGGACATGGACTACCATGCATTGAGTAGGTCCTTTCTGCCAGGGATTGGATGAACGAGCATTTGAAACCCTAGAAAGACCCTCGCAGTGGAGTACTATTACTAACCCCATTTGCCAGCGAGGGACACTGAAGTTTAGATGGGCTGAGTCATTTGACTGAGGTCCACAGCTAGAAAATGGCAGAGGTGGGATTCAGACCCAGTGTGTCTGATACTGGAGTCCACACTGGCTCAGTCTGAAGGAGGAGAACACGAGGCTCTCCCCATGCAAACTCAGAGACAGCACTCTTCCTTCAGCACTCACCACCCCATCAGCACTGTGCTTTCCTTCTTTTTCTAAGGTCAGGAAATTAAAAGCAAATAACAATTATCCTCCACTTAACACTTCATTCTGGCTAAGTTATCAGAACAGCACTGGCAAAAGGTGGTCTTCTGGTGAAGTCAGGCCCGGGGCCCAGGAGCTCACTGTTAAACAGTAAAATAATAACACACACTTAACAACTGCTTAAGAAGCTGGCGGCCACAGAACCCAGGGGGAGATAAAAGGCTGGCAAAGGGTGATGTGCTCAGGGCCAGCAACCCCAATTTTCCTAAAAAAGAGTGGTGCAAAGTAAACCTCACTCCGAACACCGGGCTGGATTCACTTCCTCTTGGAATCCTTTGGGCCTGCTGGGGGTGCACCTGCTTGTGGAGTTGGTGTGGGGACTGCCTCTCTCCCATCCAGCTGGCTCCTCCAATTCTCAGAGGGGCTCCAGCAGGGTTAGAATTTAGAAGGATGGAGGAACTACTATAAAACTCGACAGCCCTGACCAGGCGCAGTGGCTCACGCCTGTAATCCCAGCACTTTGGGAGGCCAAGGCAGGTGGATCACTTGAGGTCAGGAGTTCGAGACCAGCCTGGCTAACATGGTGAAATCCCCCATCTCTACTAAAAATCCAAAAATTAGCCGGGCGTGGTGGCAGGTGCCTGTAGTCCCAGCTGCTCAGGAGGCTGAGGCAGGAGAATCACTTGAACCAGGGAGGCGGAGGTTGCAGTGAGCCGAGATCGCTGCCACTGCACTCCAGCCTGGGCAAGAGAGCGAGACGCCATCTCAAAAACAAACAAACAAAACTAGACAGCCCCACAAGTGTGGCAAATTTGGAATCCCCACTGGGAATGCTGGCTCAGTGGCACTTTGGTGATTCATCTATGGTAAATATCAGTTCTGACACAGACCCAGAGGATGACTATTAGGTGCCTGTAAGAAAACTAGCAGGGATGCTACATTGCTGTTTAATTTTTTTGAAGCAAAAACTTAATAAAATGCCATCTGCTCACTGCCATTTCTCCTCTTTGCAAAAGAGTATAAAATAAAGCCAGTGTAACCAAGCAGATCAATTTCAGGAAATTAAACCTAAAGGTGAACCCTGGAAAAACCAGTGCAATAGTCACAACATTGGGCAATGTGGGGCAGAAAACTAACATTCGAGCTACTGAGCTTTTTCCTGTGGAAAAATATCTCTGTGTTATTTAGAATACTTTTTAAGAGATTCTGGGTGGCCTCTCTCCAAAGTATTGATGTAACACATGAAGAACTTAGTGACCCAGGGAGCATGAGTCTTGGAACTACTGCCTCTTTGAAAAGAACAGTCCGCCACATGACCACGGTCCTTTGTCATACGCTGTCCTTGACCCGCAGTGGGTGAGCACACTAATTCCTGTAAGCCAATGACAACACAGAGCCACTTTTCTATTAAGGCAGCACATTCAAAACACACACACACACACACACACACACACACACACACAAAGTAAATGGAGAAATTAAGGATGGAGATGAAGCAGTCGTAGACTCAGTACCTTAAATATCAGCCTTCTTCTCAACAGCCACTAAAAGAGTGGTTCGCTTGATGCTAGGGTCATAAAAATGCTTTCTGCCCTACTATGCTTTCCAAACTTTTTATAATGAATATGGCTTACTGGCATAGGAACAATGACTGTTTTGAGCAATATGAGAGAGGGGATGAGATGTAATCAGAGGCAGAGGAGGGTGACAAAATGTTTCTTCTGAGCAAAGAACACCCATAATTTGAATTATGGTATAACATTTGTTATCTGAAATTAAATTTTTAGATAAAGGAAAAAGTGAATGTTAAAAATACCACTTTTTTTTTTTTTTTTTTTTTTTTAAAGTCAGGTTCTTGCTCTGTCTCTCAGGCTGGAGTGCAGTGGTGCAATCTCAGCTCACTGCAACCTTCACCTGCTGGGCTCATGCCATCCTCCCACTTCAGCCTCCCGAAGTGCTGGGATTACAGGTGTGGGCCACTGCACCCAGCCAAAACTATCGCTATTATCTTGTTACCTATAAAGAGCCTAGAATTTATTTCTGCATGGTATACTTTTAGATGATTCTTCTCCCATTATTCTTCATACTTTTTAACAAAACTAATATTACAATTATTATGAGCTCATGGAGGTTAAAAGAAAAAGGTACATGAAAGGAAAACCTGGTTGTTTTATAGAAATTTTACCAAAAAATGAGGGGGTACTGCTTTTGGAAGAAACTCAGGGAGAACCCATTCTAAATTGCTAACCAGTAGATGAGACATTGTCTGCATGCCTCATTCCAAGTATCTATCATCTGGCCCCTTCGCCTGGCCCCAGGTGGTGGTGACTCAGGCACTGCATCACCAGTGGGACTTTCTGTGGCATCTTGCTGATGCTCTGCCCTGCCGTGTACCTACTGCTCTGAGCCTGTGTGATCATTCTACAGCTACAGTGGCCGAATCACCACTGGTGGGATGCTGCCATTGCTGGGCAGGGGGTGAGGGAGGGAGAGGAGGCAAAGCCAGCGCAGGGAGTGACAGCTGAGCTGCATCCTTCCCCTGCTAGGGATCAGTGCTGCCAGGGACAGAAAGAGGGCAGTGGGTGTGACCTCTCAGTGCCAGCTCAGAGAGGAAGAAAGGGATCAAAAGGGCACAAACACAAGTCTCTCCTTGAGAGTTTAAGGAAAAGATGCAAACATCACAAGGCCCAGGGCAGATGGCCAAGATGTTTATTAACAGAACATGAGTATATTCATCAGAGAATATTCATCAGAGATTTACTGCACTGGAGTCCTGCTTATAAACATAACCTGCTTCAATCAGCTTCGGTTCCAATTCCAAAAGGGATTGATCATTAGACTCTTCAGACAATTAAAGGGCATGAGTCAGAGCAATGAGGTTCAAAACCCAGCTCTGCCACTTACTAGCTGTGTGACTCTGGACTAGTTACTTGAGCTCTCTGAGCCACAATTTGTTTCTCTGGATAATAGGCCTAATCATACTTCCTAATTCACAAGATTGAGCATTAAAACAGGTTTTGTAAATAAGCACTTAGCAAAAGGCTTGGCACACAGTAAAGCATATAGTAAATAAAAATATTTTTATTAATAGCCTGATTCCTAGGGCTGATGGCTTCAAGACAAAGAAGTCATCAGATACTATATAAAAGTTATTGTCACTATTAGGAAGGAGGGATAGACCCAAGGCCACTCGATTCTGTTATTTTCTTAAAGGCCACTAGGATCCACAGTGATTTAAAAAAAAATTGTGATTTACTCACCACAGATGGCTCATTTATTCTGCATTCATTCACTCATTTATTCAACAACTGTGTAATGATTACCTAATAATACACCAGAAGCAGCTATGCTCTGGGGATATGAAAGTGAATGGGGGTCCCTACCCTCATGAAGTTGGCAGTCTAGTGGAGGAGGGAAGACAGTATGCCAGCCAAATAAATATTGGATACAAAGGGCTGTGATGCAGTCAGCACAAGGAATCCAAACTAAGGATCTCTAAGCCAGACTACCTAGGCTTGGTGGTCAAGGAAGGCTTCCTGGAAGAAGGGACACCTCAGTTGATGATGAGCAGGTATCAGTCTGCTCTGAAAATCCTCTGTGCTCTGCCTATTCATCCCTCCCTGCCCAACCCCTGGCAACCACTGATCTTTTTACTGTCTCCATAGTTTTGCCTTTTTAAGAATGTCATATAGTTGGAATCATACTATACATGGCCCTTTCTGATTGGCTTCCTTTACTTAGAAATATACATTCAAGGCCGGGTGCAGTGGCTCACACCTGTAATCCCAGAACTTTGGGAGGCCGAGCCAGGCAGATCACTTGAGGTCAGGAGTTCAAGAGCAGCCTGGCCAACATGGTAAAACCCCATCTCTACTAAAAATACTAAAATTAGCCAGGCGTGGTGGCAGGTGCCTGTAATCCCAGCTACTCAGGAGGCTGAGGCAGGAGAATCACTTGAATCCGGGAGGCAGGAGGTTGTAGTGAGCTGAGATTGTGCTGTTGCACTCCAGCCTGAGCAACAAGAGCGAAATTCCATCTCAAAAAGAAAAAAAGAAAGAAAAGAAATATACATTTAAGTTTCCTCCATGTCTGCATGGCTTGATATTCCAGAAGCAGGGCTTGGACATCAGACCAAATTGAGGACTAGCTAAAACAGGTCCCGGGCAGAAGCAGCTTTCCATTAAGACACGCCCACCAGTGTGCCATGGTTGGTTTACCATTTCCATGGCAACACCTAGATGTTCCTGCCTCTTTCCGTGGCAATGACCTGATAACCTGGAAGTTACCAACCTCATCCTAGAAATTTCTGCACGAGCCACCCCTTAATTTGCATATAATTAAAAGTGGGTACAAATATTACTGTACTAGTAGTACGGAACTGCCTCTAAGCTGTTATTCTGGACACACTGCCTATGGGATACCCCTGACCCACAAGGAATAGTACCTTTGCTGCTGCTGTAAACTGCCACTTCAATAAAAGCTGTTTAACACCACTGGCTCACCCTTGAATTATTTCCTAGGCGAAGCCAACAACTCTCCTGGGATAAGTCCTAATTTTGAGGTTTGCCTGTCGTGCATCATCAGCTTATTTCTTTTTAGCTCTGATAATATTCCATTGTCTGGATGTACCACAGTTTATCTATCCATTCACATATTGAAGGACATCTTGGTTGCTTCCAAGTTTGGCAATTCTTAATAAACCTGCTATAAATAACTGTGCACAGGTTTTTGTGTAGATATAAGTTTTTTTTGTTTTGTTTTGTTTTCAGACAGAGTCTCACTCTGTCACCCAGGCTGGAGTGCAGTGGTGTGATCCTGGCTCACCACAATCTTCGCCTCCTGGGTTCAAGCGATTCTCCTGCCTCAGCCTCCCGAGTAGCTGGCCTTACAGGCACCTGCCACCATGACTGGCTAATTTTTGTGTTTTTAGTAGAGACGGGGTTTCTCCATGTTGGCCAGGCTGATCTTGAACTCCTAACCTCAAATGATCTGCCTGCCGCGGCCTCCCAAAGTGTTGGGACTACAGGCATGAGCCACCGTGCCCAGCAGATAAAAGTTTTTAACTCCTTTGGGCAAATACTAAGGAATGCAGTTGCTGAATTGTATTGGTATCATATACCTATGAGTAACTAAGGAACTGCCAAATTGTCTTCCAAAGTGGCTGAACCATTTTGCATTCCCACCAGCAATGCATGAGAGTTCCTGTTGTTCCACATCCTCACCAGCATTTGGTGGTATCAGTGTTCTGGATTCTGGCCACTCTAAGAGGTGTGCAGTGGTATGTCCTAGTATGGTCATTGTAACTTGCAATTTCCTAATGACAGATGATGTTGAACATTTTTTCACAAATTTAGTTGCCATCTGCATATCATCTTTGGTGAGATGTCTGTTAAGATCTTTGATCCATTTTTAAATTGATTGGTTGTTTTCTTATTGCTGAGTTTTAAAAGTTCTTTGCATATTATTTTAGGTAGCAATCCTTTATCAGATGAATCTTTTGCTGCAAATATTTTCTCCCAGTCTGTGGCTTGTCTTTTCACTCTCTTGGCACTGTCTCTTACAGAGTAGAAACTAATTTTGATAAAGTGCAGCTGATTGATTCTTCCTTTCCTGGATCATGCTTTTGGTGTCTGGTGTCATATCTAAAAAGTCATCATCAAACCCAAGGTCATCCTAGATTTTTTTCCCCATGTTATCTTCTAGGAGTTTTATAGTTTTGTGTTTTACATTTAGGTCTCTGATCCATTTGAGTTAATTCTGGGAAGGGTGTAAGGTCTGTGTCTACATTTATTTATTTATTTTTGCATGTGGATGTCTGGTTTTCCTAGCACCATTTGTTAAAAAGGCTATCTTTGGCTGGGTGCAGTGGCTCACGCCTGTAATCCCACCACTTTGGGAGGCTGAGGTGGGCAGATCACCTGAGGTCGGGAGTTCCAGACCAGCCTGACTAACATGGAGAAACCCCATCTCTACTAAAAACACAAAATTAGCCAGGGGTGGTGGTGCACGCCTGTAATCCCAGCTACTCGAGAGGAGGCAAGAGAATCACTTGAACCCAGGAGGTGGAGGTTGCTGTGAGCCAAGATTGCACCATTGCATTCCAGCCTGGGCAACAAGAGCGAAACTCCATCTCAAAAAAAAAAAAAAAAAAAAAAAAAAGACTATCCATTGTTTACCTTTGTTCCTCTGTCAAGATGAGTTGACTATGTTTATGTAGGCCTATTTCTGGGCTCTCTATTCTGTTCCATTGATCTATTTGTCTAGGGAAATTTACCATGCTGTTCTCATCATTCATTCACTTATCCAAATATTCATTACACGCCTACTAATTATACCAAGCTTAGTGCTAGGAATACAGAGGTGAGTAAGACCCAGTTTTCTAATCTGGAGGGGAGGAAAAACATGTACACAAATAATTTAAGTAGACCATGATAAATACTAGAGGAGGAGTCTGTAGTAGGAATAGTCATGTGCTGCATGACATTTTGGCTAGTGACAGACAGCATATACGATGGTGGTCCCATAAAGTTATAATGGAGCTGGAAAGTTCTATCACCAGCCAGGCATGGTGGCTCACACCTATAATCCTAGCCCTTTGGGAGACCAAGCCAGGAGGATTGCTTGAGTTCAAAGCCAACCTGGGCAACATGGCAAGACCCTGTCTCTACAAAAGATTTAAAAATTAGCCAGGCATGGTGGCATGCAGCTGTGGTCCCAGCTGTGGGAGGCTGAGGAGGGAGGATTGCTTGGGCCCAGAAGGTTGAGGCTACAGTGAGCCACAATCATGCCACCGTACTCCAGCCTGGGCAACAGAGCAAGACCCTGTCTCCAAAAACAAACAAACAAAAAAAGAGAAATTCTATCACCTAGTGATGTTGTAGCCAACATAAGATCATAGTGCAATGCATTACCTTTTCTATATTTAGATACAGAAATATGTACCATTGTGTTACAATTGTCTACAGCATTCAGTACAGTAACTTGCTGTCCAGGTTTATAGCCCAGGAGCACTTGGATATACCATATAGCCTAGGTGTGTAGGAAGCTATACCATCTAGGTTTGCATAAGTACACACTATGATGTTCCCACAACAAAATCACCTATCCATGCATTTCTCAGAACCTATCCCTGTCATTAAGCAATGCATGGCTGTAGTAGAAACTTGGAAGGACAGCCTGAAAAGAGGACTTTTGCTATGTGCTGTTATCGTCAGCAAGGGAGGAAAAATAACAGGATGTTTCAAAAAGCCCCCATTTACTCAAAGAACTCCAAAGGGATTTTACAGACTTTATGAGAAGCAAACACTCCCTGGTTATCTCATAGTTAAGCAACAATATGCAATACCAGAGGGACTGAAGGGGTGGAGGAGGTATAGGGAAGGAAGCTAGTTTATTGTCCCAGTAGGACACTCATTCCCAGATGGGTATATCCTGCCAGAGGTCACTATGTCATTCCCAGCATCTTGGAGGACACTATGATCTTTCCCTGCAAAGAAGTAAGAAAACGATCACTGGACACTTGAAACCGGGCTGACCTCTCAGTGACCTACCCAGCTCCATTCCTTCTCCTTCTTGGCTGACATGCCGTTCTGTCTCGAGTGGCCATGCAATATGCCAGGAGCCCTGGTGGACATCTTCCCAGGCTCTCTTATGGCCGTGCCACACAGTTCTGGACAATGAGACATCAATTCAAGACTTCAGGGTTTCTGGGAAATACTACTTCTCCTGATCAAAAGGGATAATCAGCTCTCTGGCTGGCAGGGCTTTTGCTCTTCTTATTGCCTCAACTGTGACATACTGTTTGAAGAAGGTGCAGCAGCAGCCACTGTGTAACCAGGAGGCAGGACCCTGCTACGGCTGAAGCTGTTCTCAGAGAGTGGGGCCAGAGCCAACGTGCTGAGGATGGCAGAGCAAAAGGCAGAAAGAGCCTGGCTCTCTCGCAGTCTCACCCAGCAGCTAAAAGACACCAGGCACTGCCTATCCCTGAACCTCTTGTTGCAAAAATAAAATAAATAAATAATAAATAAATAACCCCCTGTTGGTCTATCAATTTGCTAGGGCTGCCATAACAAAATACCACAGACCGGGTGGCTTCAACAACAGACATTTATTTTCTCACTGTTCTAGAGGCCTGAAGTTCAAGATCAAGGTGTTGGCAGGGGTTGGTTTCTCATGAGGCCTCCCTCCTTGACTTGTAGGTGGCCCATTCTCTGTCTACGTCTTCACATGATCTTTCTCTGTGCCTGTGTCCTAATCTTTTTTTTTTTTTTCTTTGAGAAGGAGTCTGACTCTGTCATGCAGGCTGGAGTGGACTGGTGCGATCTTGGCTCACTGCAACCTCCACCTCCCGGGTTCATGCAATTCGTCTGCCTCAGCCTCCAGAGTAGCTGGGACTACAAGCCATGCGCCACCACGCCCGGCTAATTTTTGTATTTTTTTAGTAGAGACGGGGTTTCACTATGTGGGCCAGGCTGGTCTCGAACTCTTGGCCTCGTGATCCACCTGCCTTGGCCTCCCAAAGTGCTGGGATTATAGGCGTGAGCCACCACGCCTGGCCCATCTCTTCTTCTGATAAGGACATCGGCCATACTGAGTTAAGGCCTACCCTCATGACCTCACTTAACTTCATTACCTCTTTAAAGACTTCATCCCCAAATACAGTCACACTCTCAGGTAGTGGGAGCTGGAATTTCAACACAGGAATCTTGAGAGGTACATAGTTCAGCCCCTAAAGGTCAGGTTTTCTGTGACTTGCAGATGAAGTGATTCCCCAAGTTTCCAAGGAGCAGGCTAAAGTGACTGCTCAGAGTACACTGTCCAGCCTGGCTGGCTGTGCCTGTGTCCCTTAGACTACTGAGAACAGAGTGGCTCTAGCCAAGTCCCCTGAGGGCTTGAGGTGGTGACGGCAAATCTAGCCCTCATTCAGCTTGAATAGGGGGGCTCAACGCTCCCCTCACGGGGCAATCCTCTGGCCAGAACATTCACCTGCTGCTAGGCAGTCTGTGGAGTCCCACTCACTCACTTAATTTTAATTTAAAAACTTGGCTGGGTGCAGTGGGTCATGCCTATAATCCCAGCACTTTGGGAGGCCAAGGCAGGTGGATCACCTGAGGTCGGGAGTTCCAGACCAGCCTGGTCAACATGGCAAAACACTGTCTCTATTAAAAATATAAAAATTAGCTGGACATGGTGGTGCATGCCTGTAATCCCAATCCTATCTACTTGGGAGGCTGAGGCAGGAGAATAGCTTGAACCTGGGAGGCGGAGGTTGCAGTGAGTCGAGATCGCACCATTGCATTTCCAGCCTGGGTGACAGAGTGAGACTCCATCTCAAAAAACAAAACAAAACAACAACAACAAAAAACCATTGGTTCTGTCTGGAAAGGTGGGACAACTTGAAGCAAGGGGTGGGGCTTCCAGGTTATAGGTAGATTTAAAAATTTTCTGATTGGCAATTGGTTGAAAGGGTTATCAATAGAAAGGAATGTCTGGGTTGCATAAGAGGTTGTGGTGACCAGAGTTTCATCATGCAGATGAAGCCTCCAGGTAGCAGGCTTCAAAGAGAATAGATGATAAATGCTTCTGCTTAGACTTAAGGTCTGTGTGGATATTAATGCCAGAGAGGTATAGTGAGGCATGTCCAACCCCACTTCCATTCATGGCCTGAACTAGTCTTTCAGGTTAAATTTTAAGAGTGCCCTGGCTGTGGAGGAAGTCCATTCAGATGGCTGGGGAGCCTTAGAATTTTAATTTTGGTTCACAGAGCCCTAAGCATCCGAGTGGGAGGTGAGGAGCCTCCTCCTCCACCTGGAGCCCTGTAGAAAGAGGTTACCTTAACAGGCCTCATAACAGGCACCCTCCAGCTTAATCTTAATTTGAAAACCAGCTCTCAAAAATGAAATCAAGCTACAGGGAGATGCTGAGTTTCAGATGCAGTGCCTGTGGATAACAGACTTTCCCTCCCAGAAGCCTCTTAAGGCTGGATGTGGGGCTGTGCTTTGCAGAAAGGCACTGGAGACCTCGGTGCACTGACTTCTAACCCTGGGCTTGCACATAGGCCTACCCCGAAGGAGTCCTTGCCTCCCTATGGGAAAACTAGGGCTCTCGAGTGCTTTGCACACAGAACCAAAATAGGAAGGTCTCCCTCTAAGTCTCCCCAGTTTCTGGGGGAACGACAGAGCCTGCAGCAAGCTCTCCTGGGAAGGTGGGCCTTTCCCTGGGGAGCACCTTCTTCTTGCTGCCCTGGGCACAGAGGAGTCTTGGCCTGTCTGCACAGCCCTAATGTGACCCTGTGTATTTAAACTGAAACTTTGGGCTTTGACCCAAAGCCCCTCGCTGTTTGTTTTACAAACTCCTACTTACAGTCTCAAATTAGGCTCATTAAAAAGCCAGCTCCCTGTGGGGCTATAAACGTCACATGGACAAGCGGAGAGTGAGTTTACGAGGCTGGCGTGTGATCTGCCCACCAACACAGCCGAGGACCGAGTGGAAACAGTGAATCAGCCTGTTTCAGCAGAACCTGTTTCCTCAGCCCTCCCGACTGGAGCAGAGGTGGCAACGTCCCAAAGAGGCAGCCCCATCGGTCCTTCCAGGACAGCTGGCCTGGATCTTTCCTGGATCTGCACAGCACAATTGACAGAGAGGAAGTCTGTACCCCAAAATTCTCCGCTCTCCTGCTCCCCTAAGCCTTTTCTTAGTTCTTGATTTGGAGTCTCCCCTGCGCCACCCCATTCCATTCACATTTGCCCCGTAATCATCATTAGGAGCGTAGGCTGCTGCTACCTCCCTCCCAACCACACACACACTCACTCATGCTTTGAGCAGACTGACCCTATCTCTGCATGGGGTGTTGCTCCTGCCTGGGTGGCCCATGCTCTAGCTCTGGGAACTGTCACCCCTGCTTTGCAGCTTGTGCCTTGCAGGCAGCAGGCCTGGGGGATTGGAGCACAGAGGAAAGCAGTCTCCTGCGCCCCGGCATCAGCCTCAGCCTCATTACTCAAATTGCTGACCCGCTAGCATGCCTCCAGTTACATCAGAGCTCCAACACTATGTTGCCTCCAGTGAGATCTGATTGTCCACCCCTCAAGTCAACTGCCAGAGGGTGGAGAAAACTACTAGAACATTCTCCTTATTTCTGTCTTTTTGCAGCTTCCACTCTCTGGTACTGTGTCTACACCCTGTAAACCCAGCTCCAGTCTCAGCCTATTCACTACCCTCTTAAATCCAGGAGCCCAGGACCTCACGTACAACTTCAGGGTATGCTGTGTTTGTGTCCACCCTGAGTGGTTCAGAAGAGACTAAGAGGATCATGCCCCTCTTTCTGTTTTTGTTAATTTTGAGACAGGGTCTTGCTCTGTTGCCCAGGCTGGAATGCTTTGGCACAATCTGCTCACTGCAGCCTTGACTTCTGGGCTCAGCATCCTGAGTAGCTGAAAACTACAAGTGTATGCCACCACACCCAGCTAATTTTGTTTATTTTTTTGGAGAGATGAGGTCTCACTATATTGCCCTGGACTCAACTCCTGGACTCAAGCAGTCCTTTTGCTTCGGCCTCCCAAAGTGCTGGGATTATAGGAGCAGGCCACCATGCCCAGCCTAATTTTAATTTTTCATAGCAATGGGGTCTTGTCCTGCTACCCAGCTAGTCTCAAACTCCTAACCTCAAGCCATCCTCCCATCTCAGCTTCCCAAAGTGTTGAGATTACAGGCGTGGTGTACCCCTTTCTGGATACTGCAATGCTGATGACTGCAGTTTCAACACTGGTGGCCTCCCCTCTCTTTGACCATCCTTTCTTTCTATCAAGTGACTGGCTGCCATGGTCTTCATAGAGCCTCCCCCGACAATGACGTGTTGGTTAAAAGGCACCAGCTCATGAGTTAGGTGGACCCAACCTTGCAGGGTGGCCTCCAACACATAACACCACCTTTGAGCCTCAGTTTGCTCGTCTGCACAGTGGAAATAGCACCTACTCTCAAAGACTGAGGGCGAACATCAAATGAGATGATGCATATATGTACTCAACATAGTCCCTGGCAAAGACTGGGCATACAAAAGACAGAAGGCACCATTGTCTCTAATCACCACTGAACTCTGCCCCTCTCCTCTGGTTCTCAGGCTTGAGGTAGGAATGATTTGAGATAGTGGTAATCTTTTTTAACGAGGCTTTTGGCTAAGGAAGGGCAAAAACTATATTTTTCTTCACACTTCCTTCTTGCTGTCATCTCTGCAGTTCACACAGTTCCAAGAACATGGTAGGTGCTTAATAAGTATAAAAAAATCCATGTTCAGAGAATGTGGATTTATTTTAGCTTTAAATCTAAACTTGAGGTATGCAGTCAAAACTGAGATACTGAGATATTCTGAATATTAAACTAGAATAATAGTTCTGACTTCCGATGGCATTACAAGTTAAAGGAAAAGCAATGTATTCATGACACCCGTCTCCTCCAATTGCTCAGCTAATGAGGAGGTGGCCGTCAGGGAGGGCAGAGGGCAGAGGCTGACTGCTCTGACGCGTTAGAGCAGAAGGGGAAAGAGTGGGCTTGTCAGCCTGGTCTCCAGCTCTGGCCCTGGTCCTGGGCCAAAAGCCGGCCTGGGGAGCAAAGAATTAAACTGTCATGCTGCAAGACCCCGCCACTGTTATGGCTGAAGTCGCCAGCTGTAAACAATAGCTCAGACTCCACACAGGGCTTGTAGACTGCAGAGCCCACCCTCTTGGGCTCTAGCTTTCCTCTTCCCTTCCCTTAAAAAGAAAGAGCTAGCCAGGCGCGGTGGCTCATGCCTGTAATCCCAGCACTTTGGGAGGCCGAGGTGGGCAGATCAACTGAGGTCAGGAGTTCGAGATCAGCCTGACCAACATGGAGAAACCCCGTCTCTACTAAAAATACAAAATTAGCCCGGTGTGGTGGCACATGCCTGTGATTCCAGCTACTCGGGAGGCTGAGGCAGGAGAATTGCTTGAACCAGGGAGGCAGAGGTTGCGGTGAACCGAGATCGCGCCATTGCACTCTAGCCTGGGTAACAAGAGTGAAACTCCACCTCAAAAATAAATAAATAAATAAAATAAAAAGAAAGGGCTGGTGGGGTGGGCAGAGAAAAGGAGAAAGAAGAAAGTATCTGAAAAATAAGAACCTGTGTTACATGAGTGCTTTGAGCTTAGAAGTCCCTGGACATTCCAAGTAACTATAGGTTTTAGAAGCCGCTATCAAGCCAGGTGCGGTGGCTCACGCCTGTAATCCCAGCACTTTGGGAAGCCGAGGCGGGTGGATTGCCTGAGCTCAGGAGTTTGAGAGCAGCCTGGGCAACATGGTGAAACCCCGTCTCTACCAAAAATACAAAAAATTAGCCGAGTGTTGCGTGCGCCTGTAGTCCCAGATACTTGGGAGGCTGAGGTGGGAGGATCACTTGAGCCTGGGAGGCAGAGATTGCAGTGAGCTGAGATTGCACCACTACTCTCCAGCCTGGGTGAAAGACTGAGCTGAGAGTCCATTAAAAAAAAAAAAAAAAAAAAAAAGAAGCCACTACCTATTTGAGTTTTATTGCCTCAAATAAACATTGGGAATAGCTTGGCAGGATGGGCCACCACTGCCCTTCCTTGATCCAGAGCCCAGTCTCCTGGAAGGGATGTTTTAAAAGAGGAGCTCTCCTATGGGAATAGAAAGCAAAACCAAGATCCCCTCACACAAATGAGGAAGCTGCCTCCTTAAGGAGCAATGAACAAGTGCAGACTACAGGCAGGGTCAGTACAAACTGCCTAAGGACTCTGTGACATGATGGTATCACATATGGCTTTAACATAAAACACGGACAATAACCTGAGAAGTTAAGCTACTTGCCCAAGGCCACAGAGTAGGACCATGCTCCTCACAACTCCAGTATAGAGAAACTGGGCTCAGCGTTCATGAGTCCAAGTAGGCTGTTTTTTCAAAATGAGATATAATTCACATGCTATAAAATTTACCCTTTTAAAACATTTCATTCGCTGTTTTTAGTATATCAGAGTATGAAACCATAACCACTATTTAATTTCAGAACATTTTCATCACCCCAAAAAGAAAACGTTTGGTATGGTATGGGTATGGTAGCTCACACCTGTAATCCCAGCACTTTGGGAGGCCGAGGCAGGTGGATCACTTCAGGTCAGGAGTTGGTGACCAGGCTGGCCAACATGGCAAAACCCCATCTCTACTAAAAATACAAAAATTAGCATGGTGTGGCAGTGTACGCCTGTAGTCCCAGCTACTCTCCTGAGGCAGGAGAATTGCTTGAACCCAGGAGGCGGAAGTTGCAGTGAGCTGAGATGGCACCACTGCCCTCCAGCCTGAAAAAGACTCTGTCTCCAAAATAAAAAGGAGTTCAAGATCAGCCTGGCCAACATGGCGAAATCCCGTCTGTACTAAAAACACAAAAATTAGTCAGATATGGTGGCGCACACCTGTAATCCCAGCTACTCAGGAGATTGAGGCAGGAGAATCACTTGAACCCAGGAGGCGTAGGTTGCAGTGAGCCCAGATTGCACCACTGCACTCCAGTGTGGGTGACAGAGTGAGACTCCATCTCAAAAAAAAAAAAGAAAAAAAAAAAAAAGAATCTGTACCCATTGGAAGTCATCAGTCTCTCCCCATTATCCATTTCCCTCTGTTCTTAGAAAGCACTAAGCTATTTTCTGTCTCTACGAATTTGCCTTTCCTGGACATTTCACATAAATGGAATCCCACAAGATGTGGCTTTTTGTGTCTGGCTTCTTTTATGTGGCATAATGTTTTTAAGGTCCATCCATGTTGTAGCATGTATCAGTACTATACTTTTTGTGGGCGAATGATATTCCATTGCATGGATATACCACATTTTGTTTATCTATTCAATTATTGATGAATATTTGGATTGTTTCTACCTTTTGGCTATTACAAACAATGCTGCTAGTCATGTACAAGTTTTTGTGTGAACATACATTTTCATTTATCTTGGTATATATGAGTGGAACTGCTGGGTTGTGTGGTAATTGTAACTTTTTTTTTCTTCTTTTTTTTTATTTTCTGAGACGGAGTTTTGCTTCTGTCACCCAGGCTGGAGTGCAATGGCATGATCTTGGCTCACTGCAACCTCTGCATCCCGGGTTCAAGCAATTCTCCTGCCTCAGCCACCTGAGTATCTGGGATTACAGGCACGTGCCACCACACCTGGCTAATTTTTGTATTTTAAGTAGGGACAGGGTTTCGCAATGTTGGCCAGGCTGGTTTCAAACTCCTGACCTCAGGTGATCCGCCCGCCTCGGCCTCCCAAAGTGCTGGGATTACAGGCGTGAGCCACCACACTTGGCCTACTTTTTTGTTTGTTTTCTTTTTGAGATAAGGTCTCACTTTGTTGCCCAGGCTGGAGTGCAGTGGTGTAATCTTGGCTCAGTAGCATGATCTTGGCTCACTGCAACCTCTGCATCCCAGGTTCAAGCAATTCTCCTGCCTCAGCCACCTGAGTATCTGGGATTACAGGCACGTGCCACCACACCTGGCTAATTTTTGTATTTTAAGTAGGGACAGGGTTTCGCAATGTTGGCCAGGCTGGTTTCAAACTCCTGACCTCAGGTGATCCGCCCGCCTCGGCCTCCCAAAGTGCTGGGATTACAGGCGTGAGCCACCACACTTGGCCTACTTTTTTGTTTGTTTTCTTTTTGAGATAAGGTCTCACTTTGTTGCCCAGGCTGGAGTGCAGTGGTGTAGTCTTGGCTCAGTAGCATGATCTTGGCTCACTGCAACCTCTGCCTCCTGGGTTCAAGTAATTCTCCTGCCTCAGCCTCCAGAGTAGCTGGAATTACAGGCGCCCGCCACCATACCTAGATAATTTTTATATTTTTAGTAGAGATTTCACCATGTTGGCCAGGCTAGTCTCGACATCCGACCTCAGGTGATCGCCTGCCTCAGCCTCCCAAAATGCTGAGATTACAGCATGTGCCACCGCACCCAGCCTATGTTTGATTTTTTGAGGAACCACCATGCTTGTTTTCCACAGTGACTTCACCATTTTACGTTCCTACCAGTGGTGTATGAAGGCTCCAATTTCTCCACATCCTCACCAACACTTATTATCTGTCTGTTTGGTTATAGTCCTAAGAAAGTGGTATCTCAGGGGCCAGGTGCAGTGGCTCATGCCTGTAATTCCAGGAGTTTGGGAGGCCAAGGTGGACAGATCACTTTAGGTCAGGAGTTCGAGACCAGCCTGGCCAACATGGTGAAACAGCATCTCTACTAAAATACAAAAATTAGCTGGGTGTGGGGGCAGGCACCTGTAATCCCAGCTACTCGGGAGGCTGAGGCAGGAGAATTGCTTAAATCTGGGGGTGCGGAGGTTGCAGTGAGCCAAGATCGCGCCACTGCACTCCAGCCTGGGAGACAGAGCAAGACTCCGTCTTGGAAAAAAAAAAAAAAGAGAAAAAAGAAAAAGAAAGTGGTATCTCATTTAGTGATGATTCTTTAACAGAATTATTTATTCTGGCCGGGTGCGGTGGCTCACGCCTGTAATCGCAGCACTTTGGGAGGCCGAGGTGGGCGGATCACAAAGTCAGGAGATCAAGACCATCCTGGCTAACACGATGAAACCCGTCTCTACCAAAAATACAAAAAATTAGCCAGGTGTGGTGGCGGGCGCCTGTAGTCCCAGCTACTCGGGAGGCTAAGGCAGGAGAATGGCGTGAACCCGGGAGGTGGAGCTTGCAGTGAGCAGAGATCGCACCACTGCACTCCAGCCTGGGTGACAGAGTGAGACTCCATCTCAAAAAAAAAAAAAAAAGAAAGAAAATTATTTATTCTTTGCTACCAAATCGGCAGTGACTTCTGTGCTAGAATGGGTTTCCTTAAAACAAGTGCAACCACAAAGGCCACGGAAGAGGCACATAAAATGGAAGCACATTGAACACAAAGTTAGGATGACCCTTAAGAATAAAGCTCTCTCACTAGTTTCATATTAAATTACTTTAGCACTATAAGAATAATTAATGCATGTTTTCTACAGAAAAATATAAAAAATACAGTCAAATGCAAGGTAGAAAATAAAAATCACCCATAATCCCATCACTTAGAGAGAAGTATTGATACTTGTTAAATATTGTTCATATATTTTTAAACCTACAGTGTTGTTTCATTTCACTTATTACACCAAACAGCATTTTCTTATGGCATTAGCTATCTTTGGAACGGGCCTTTAAATGTCTACCCAGTTCTTGCCACTGGTTTCAGTTTTGCCAGCCACTTTCCTATGGCTTTTCTAGATATGTTCACGTTCCTCTCTTCTGAAGCTCACTGTTGTTCAGTTCTCAACAGCAGGGCCCCTAGTCGGATACAGCTACCTGCCAGGCAATGGGCAAGGGTTCTCTGTTGAAGCTCCTGGGAAGCCTGTAGGTGGGAGGTGGCACACGCACTCAGCACTCGCATATGCATGCGCAAACACACCCTACCTCTTTACAGTTCCCTGTGATGACTGCTGTGATCAGAGCAGGGGGACCGGTGACCTTGGTGACACCATAGTCCTTGCCTGCACTAACATCCACATCTCTATCAAAGGGGGAGTGTTGCATTTTGAAGCTAAGAAGTTCCCAAACCACGTTAAGTGGCAGTCAGCTCAGTGAGGGAGAATTTGAGGGTTGTACCTGGGTTTGAATGAGGGGTTAGTCACTTACCCAGACAAGTCCTCAGCCTTTCTGCAGTAAGACGGGGCCAACAATACCTAAAATAACTTTCGGGGAGCCCTGAGGGTTGAGTGAGAACCTAGGGCAGTGCCTGGAACACAGGATGGACTCAAAAATGGTACCTGGAACAAGGACATGGACGGGGAAGGCTCTGGTAAGTTGACGATGGGGAGAGTTGCCCCCTTACAGTCCCTAAATGCTGATGGCCCCTTCCTAAAGCATCTGTGGTCATTTATTTGACTGTTTATAATACCCTCCCACCAGACAGATGCCACAGGACCTTCCATGGTGTCTGCCTGAAGTTGTTGATATGACAAGAGGCTTACAGTGCCTCTTCCAGTCCTTTTCCTCTTATTTCCATCATGAAATCTCAGTATGATCTGCAAATTCTTTACCTAGTTTCCGAAAACCTTCTTTCAAAAGGAATGTCCCAGACACTCCAGTAGCAAGGAGTATATCCAGTGCCCAGATTCTGGTTTCTCTTTTTCTTTTTCTTTTTTGTAGAGACAGGGTCTTACTTTGTTGCCTATGCTGGTCTTGAACTCCTGGCTTCAGGCAATCCTCCCGCCTTGGCCTCCCAAAGTGCTGGGGTTACAGGCATGAGCCACCGCACACAGCAGATCCTAGATTCTAATAGCATTCTTCAATAAAAGGAACCAGAGCTCCTTCGAGAAATTGACTGATTTTAGGAACAGGGCATGGAAAACAGAAAATGAGCTTGGAGCATCTTGTGGTACCAGAAAGTAAGAGTGCTCAAAGAATCCTAAAATGATGAGATGGGAGCCAACCGAAAGCGCTCTCAACGGGCAAAGCCGGAACAATTTGCATAACAAAATAAATAACACAATATTGCATAATGACCCAAAGTATAAAATAAATACCCATATATGCATGCTTACTGATTGAAAAAATAACTAGGGGAGAATAAACCAATCAATCTTCCAATTAATCTATGCATTAATAGATACCACCCTCCCCCAGGAGGTAGAGCATAACTTCCCATCCCTTAGCTATGGAATGCACACAGTGACTTCACTCTAAAGACTACAGAGTGGACGTGGCCTGAGGGGCGGGAGTGGGGAATAATACTTGACAGTAGAGAAACCAGACAAACATTATCGGGTGGTCAAGGTTAACATCATCAGTGACAAGTCATGTTGATAGTGTGTATTCTTCTTATTCTTGTTTTTTTCTCCTGAGACGAAGTTTCACTCAGTCGCCCAGGCTGGAGTGCAATGGCGCAATCTCAGTTCACTGCAAACTCCGCCTCCTGGGTTCAAGCGATTCTCCTGCCTCAGCCTCCCAAGTAGCTGGGATTACAGGCGCATGCCACCATGCCCAGCTAATTTTTTGTATTTTTAGTAGAGATGGGGTGAGCCCCGCACCCGGCCGATAGTGTGTATTCTTGATATGATGAGTATGACACTTTACCTCTGTGGACTTCCCCGCAAAAAACCCTATAACCCCACACTAGTCATGAGAAAAACTTTAGACTGAAAGATATTCTGTAAAATATCTGATCAGCTCTCCTCTAAACTGTCAAGCTCACCAAGAACAAAGAAAGTCTTGTCACAGCCAAGAAGAATCTAAGGACATATAACAACTAAATATGGCATGGGTTCCTGAGACAGAAAAAGGACATTAGGTAAAAACTAAGGAAATCCTAAAGAAGTATGAACTTTAGTTAATAATGTTAATAGGGGAAACGGTGTGGGGTATCTGGAAACTTTCTGTAATACTCTTGCGACTTTCATGTAAATCTAAAATTGTTCTTATGCTGGGAGTGGTGGCTCATGCCTGTAATCCCAGCACTTGGGGAGGCCTAGGTGGGTGGATCATTTGAGGTCAGGAGTTCAAGACCAGCCTGGCCAACATGGTGAAACCCCATCTCTACTAAAAATACAAAAAATTAGCAGGGCATAGTGGTGCACGCCTGTAGCGCCAGCTACTTGGGAGGCAGAGGCATGAGAAGCACTTGAACCTGGGAAGCGGAGGCTGCAGTGAGCTGAGATCGCGCCACTGCACTCCAGCCTGGGCAATAGAGGGAGACTCTGTCTCAAAAAAAAAAAAAAAAATTGTTCTTAAATGAGACATTTAAATCCTAGAGAAAAGGAATATCCCAGAAGCACCATCACGAGGCCTAACCTAATCCCCAGCAAGGGACCTCTCGAGACCTTCTGAAGCCCCACCACAATCTGTAGCCTTCTCTCACAGACCACTTAGTATCTACTCATTTACATATCCATTTGTTTGCAAAGTATTTATCGAGCCCTTGGCCTTGGGTGCAGGGTGGTGGTTGGTCAGGGGGCATGGTGGCTCCCACTTGTAATCTCAGAACTTTGGGAGACCAAGGTGGGAGGATCACTGAGACCAGTTTGGGCAACATAGTGGGACTCTGTCTCTTAAAAAAAAATACATAATAATAAATAAAATTAGCCAGGCGTAATGGTCCCAGCTTCTTGGGAAGCTGAGGTGGGAGGATCTCTTGAGCCTGTGAGGTCAGGGCTGCAGTGAGCCATAATCACACCACTGCACTCCAGCCTGGGTGACAGAAGGAGACTCTGTCTCAAAAAACCCCCTAACCTCCCCCCAAAACCCCAAATGCCCCGCAAAACATATACTACCCCCTCCATCATGCTGGGAGCCACTGAAGGGAGACACCCTGTCATAGTGGTTTGGTCCTCCAGTGGCTAGGGAGGTAGCTGTTTGCTAAGTGAATGTTAAGTCCATCCCAGTCGCTTCCTGCTAACAGTCCACCACGGGAAGTTAGGCATTTAATAATGAGGACACAATTAGGACACCTGGGCTTGGTGCATGAGGATTTTTCTTTTTATTTTTTTGAAGACAAAGCAAAACAAAAAAACAACCCTTTCTTTTTGAGACAGGGTCTTGCTCTATTACCCAGGCAGAAGGGAAATGGCATGATCATGGCTCACTGCAGCTTTTTTTTTTTTTGAGACAGAGCCTCCTTGTTGCCCAGGCTGAAGTGCAGTGGTGTGACCTTGGCTCACTGCAGCCTCCGCCTCCCAGGTCACTGCAGCGTTAAACTCCTGGGCTCAAGCAATCCTCCTGCCTCAGCCTCCCAATTAGCTGGGACCACAGGGGTACACCACCACACCCAGCTAAGTTTCTAAAAATGTTTTGTAGAGACAAGGTCTCACCATGTTGCTCAGGCTGGTCTTGAAATCCTGGGCTCAAGCAATCTGCCTTGGCCTTGCAAAGTGCTGGGATTATAGGCATGAACCACTGTACCTGGCCCACCTTTTTTTTTTTTATTATAAAGGTAATTATGATTATTTTTTAAAAATCAGAAAGGAATAATGAATAAAGTTTCTTTTAATACTACCTCCCAGAGATAACTATTATTAATATATTATAATTTTTCTTCAAATAGGCTTTTAGTACAAATAGTACATGTACAAATACATGTACTAACCTATCAATTTTTTAAAATCACAAACCGAATTTGAGAAACAGGAACATAATGAAATTATTTTTCACCTAATGCTGAATCCTGTATTTTGTGGACATCTTTTCAGGTCAGTGTGTTTGGATATATATTTCTTTTTAAGACCTACACAGTTTCCAGGGTCATCGCTCCCTCAAATTTGAATTGTCAGCTTGATCCCTCTCAGAAGACTAGAGAAACCATACATCCCAGGGCACCTGAAGCAGGGCCAAGCTGGGCTGCAGGTATTTTCCACAGTGCTCTGGCAAGGCCTTCTCCGTGGCTCAGTTAGGGGGTTTCCCTTCTCCCCTCCCCTCCCCTGTTGGGGTGGGGGCAAGGGTAAGAGCGTCTCCCTGGAGGAGGTGCCTAAAGCAGGCTGTGAGTCACTCAGATGAGCTTCCGGGTGAAGTCATGCTGAGAAGCTATTTGCAGACACCTTACTCAAGGAGGCCTAAGGAAAGCATGGGGGGATGCCATCTCAAGCGAGAAATGGAGAACTTTTAGATTCTCCCCTCCCTGGCCTTTCTAGAGCAGAGGCTGTAACCGGAATATCAGAGACACAGTAAATTACCTGGGATTTCCCCATCAGGGAGATTCCTGGGTTACTCTCACTGATAACAAGACTAACTACTCACACCCAGGGTCCCAGGGTGAGGCTGGGCAAGGGAGGCACCAGGGCTGGTTCCACTGCTCAGAGGAGAAATGCAATTCTCTCCTGTGCCTCAAAGTCCAGCATTGTGAGAACACCTCGGATGCCAGCTCTGGCTCCGCCTCTCACAAAACCTAGGTAAAGTGCTTTGTGCGGAATCTTTTCCTTATGAAAAGGCAGGGCTACCAGGCAGTGCCAAGCCCTGGGACAGTCAGGTAACTAATTGCCTATTGCGACTCCCAGCTTACAGGGTAATGCTACCTGCTCCTGCTTAACCTCAGAGACTGGGAATCCCAGTTCTGCCACAGAAGAGGGCCCTTTTAGTTTCCCTGAAGCACTTATACAGAGATTATTGTGTTTATTTTATTTATTTATTTATTTATTTTTGAGACAGAGTCTCGCTCCTTCGCCCAGGCTGGAGTGCAGTGGCGCTATCTTGGCTCACTGCAAGCTCTGCCTCCTGGGTTCACGCCATTCTCCTGCCTCAGCCTCCCAAGTAGCTAGGACTATAGGCGCCCGCCACGGCGCCTGGCTAATTTTTTTTTTGTATTTTTAGTAGAGATGGGGTTTCACCGTGTTAGCCAGGATGGTCTCGATCTCCTGACCTTGTGATCCGCCTGCCTTAGCCACCCAAAGTGCTGGGATTACAGGCGTGAGCCACCGTGCCCGGCCGAGATTATTGTGTTTATTAATTTGCTTACTTGCTCAGTATCTGGTGCCCCTACTCCCTCTAAAATGCAAGCTCTGCATAGCAGGGATTGCCTGAAAAATGTCAGCCACATAGATGCTCAAGACATTTCTAGAAAAGAAATGAATGCCATCAGCCAAATATCTGACCATGACCCGGGGTAAGTACTTAACCTCTAGACCTCAGTTTCTTCATCTGTAAAGCGGATATGGTTTCTTCTCTGTAGTGGTTATGAACATATCGCATAAAGCACTAAACCCAATGCCTGACACATAGCAAGAGTTCAATAAAAGGGCTCTCTCTGTTATCCTCAGAGATGACAAGGATCTTGAACCCCACAATAAACTGCTACATCTCCAATACTGAATGAATTAGCCTCTGTTCAATAAGCCCCACAGGAAGGGGAGCGGGGGAGGTCAAAAGGAATTGGTGCCTGTGATCCCACCTTCCTAAGAGGATTTGCCTATCAGAGCCATCCAGGACCTGATTGGGGATCTCCTTCTGGCTTTTAAGCCACAAGCCATGAATACTGCTGACACCACTCCTATGAAGTAGCAACAAGTGATCCATCGCTAATTGCACTTTGCAGAGCTTTTTCTGATCCATGCTAGAGGCATTAATTAGCTGCAGGAGGTCAGCGCTAGCTAAGTGAACACTCTTTGTGCCCCAGGTAAGGAGACCAAGCTGAGAAGGCAGAGCAGAGCCTGTTCCTCCTTGAAACAAACTTTCAGGCAGCAAAGCCCTAAACAGAGACAGCTGTGTGGTCTGGGCAAGCACAGCGCCTAGCTTCCCTGCTGCCCACACTCAGAAGCAGGCTGAGCGCCAGACGGGGAGAGATGCTGCTGGGTTCTGGGGTGGACAGACATCGTGGACATCGGGTGCAGGCTGGTGGGTACACCCCTGCAAGGAAGAGAAGGGTAAAGGCCAGGTGGGAAGTCCGTGGATATTCTTGTTGGCAGAGGGAGATTAAAAATAGAAAAAAGAGACAGGGCTGGAGAAAGAGGAGGGGAGAAAAAGTATTAAAATAGAGTTTTTTCCCTGGAAAGAAGAGGTCATTTGGAACAGTCACTTCATATGAAAGGTAAAAAAATGTGTTTTGAAATAGCTGAGAAAATATGGAAATTTTCTTCTTCCTTTGCTCTTGTTGTAGAAGGGTAGAGAATTCACACTTGTCTTCTACCTCCAGAAGGCACAGGGCAGAAAACACAGGACTCTCTTTAATGTGCCTTTTAAGACAAAAAATTCTTTCTAATTTGGGGTGGGTCACTCGACAGGTTTCAGAGAGGTTATTTCTAGGGCTGGAGAAGGACTCTGTGCCGCCAGTTTTCCCTAACAGCAGCATTTTAAGCAGCAGATTTTAGGTAGCTTGAAGCCAGAGGACCCCATTCTCTTTTGATGCCTCCCCGGCACCCCCTCCCCTCAATCCACTGATTTACTCCGGGAGGCCTCAGGGCCCAAGGCCAGGCCTTGATCTCCTGGGGAAGCAGAAGTGATTGAGATGCCGATACATCAGGCCTGTTAGCCAGGCCAGGAGGGAGACAGGAGGATAAAGAGACAAAGAACCGAGGAGGGTAGATAAACGAAATCGCATCAGCCGCAAAGCTGCTCGCTCCTAGATAGATTAGCACCTTCCTCTGCCCTAATCATTCCAGACAGCCTCTGCAGCTTGGGTGTGCCCAGCCATCTGGGAACCCTCAGGGATTCGGACTCTATTTTGGCAGCTATTATCTGTGGGGGAAATAATTCTCTCCTTGGTGAACCTCAAGTTTATGAGAAAGTTGAATGTATGCAAAAAGACAAAATCATTTAAACTGTACAAGGGAAGCAAGCTGTTTAGAAGTATTTTATGGAGTCGTGGCCAAGAGTAGGGGCTTTGGGGACAGAATATGTACCTCTGGATCATCTTGGACAAGTTACCGAACCCCTCTGTGTGTGTTGAGGTTTTCTCATCTGTAAAATGGAGCCCACAGTACCCACCTCTATCAGGTTGTTATGAAGATTAAATATGCAATAGATACACAGTAAACATTCCATACTGGGGGCTTTCATGCTTTCATACTGATTACCACGGCTGTGTCCTCGTGATTTTCCTGGATATTCTTTTTTTTTTTTTTTTTTTTTTTAGACCGAGTCTCGCTCTATTGCCCAGGCTGGGCAGTGGCGCCATCTCAGCTCACTGCAACCTCCACCTCCCAGGTTCAAGTGATTCTCCTGCCTCAGCCTCCCAAAGTGCTCGGATTTCAGGCGTGAGCCACTGCGCCTGGCCTTTCCTGGATATTCTGATTTCAAATTGTTTTCCTGTTATCTCCATAAATGAATTTGCCAGATTTATGATTATGATCAGAATATGGTCTTCTTAAAGGGTAGTCTCATTTTCTGAATCATTATTTGTATAAATCTGGACATTTCCCAGTTCAGGCTGGCTTCAGTAAGAACCCACTAAAGGCCAGGCTCACTTCTGTAATCCCAGCACTTTGGGAGGCCAAGGTGGGCAGATCACCTGAGGTCTGGAGTTTGAGACCAGCCTGACATGGTGAAACCCCATCTCTACTAAAAATACAAAAATTAGCTGGGCATAGTGGTGGGCGCCTATAATCCCAGCTACTTGGGAGGCTGAGGCAGGAGAATCGCTTGAACCTGGGAGGTGGGAAGTGGAAGTTGCAGTGGGCCGAGATCGCACCATTGCACTCCAGCCTGGGCAACAAGAGTGAAACTCCACTCAAAAACAAACAAAAAACGCTATGC
Source organism: Homo sapiens (assembly GCF_000001405.40). Classification (NCBI taxonomy): domain Eukaryota; kingdom Metazoa; phylum Chordata; class Mammalia; order Primates; family Hominidae; genus Homo; species Homo sapiens. The sequence continues at coordinate 34,237,922 of NC_000011.10, forward strand.
CACCCACCACCACCCTGGACCACACTCTCACTAAGTCTTTAAATTGATACCCCATTTGCCCTGATGTGTGATTATTCATTGTATGCATGTATCAAAATATCTCATGTACCTCATAAATATATATACCTGCTATATACCCACAAAATTAAATAAATTTTAAAAAATATTTAAATTAGCTTCAAAGCCCTATATTATCTCCCATACTCCCAGCCTCTCTGGCTACCCACACTAGCTGCCTCCTTGCTGTTCTCAAACATGCTAGCCACAGGGCCTTTGAACTTACTGTTCCTTTTCCTGAAGTATTCCTTTCCCCTGGCATCTGCATGGCTAGGTCCCTCACGACCTTCAGGGCTTTTCCCAAATCTCTGACCTGTATTTGCCCACTTCCAGCTCTCCCTAGTCAGATTCTCTGCAATAACTTCTCCATAAAACTAACCATCAAATATATGATTCATTCTATTATTTTATTGCCTGTCTTCCCAAATACTATGTAATCTCCATGAGGGCAGGGCTTTTGTCTGTTTTATTCATTGCTATATTCTTAGTATCTAGCACAGTACCTGGGATACAGTAGGTACTCAATAAATATTTGTTGAATGGAGATGTGCCATGACTTATTCATGTGCATTTGAACAAATACCAATCCGGTACCTACCACGTGCCAAGTACTCAACATATATGAGCCATTAAGTCTTGCAACAGCCACTTTATAAATGATGAAACTAAGACATGGAAGCAGAGTGACTGGCCTGAGCTCACAGCCTGAGCTGGGATTCAAGCCTCGCTCTTTCCCAAGACTATTCTTTCCTTGTGTTTGATCCCATTAATCATCATTCTTTTTTTTTCTTTTGAGTCGGAGTCTCACTCTGTCGCCGAGGCTGGAGTGCAATGATGCAATCTCGGCTCACTGCAACCTTGGCCTCCCGGGTTCATGCCATTCTCCTGCTTCCGCCTCCTGAGTAGCTGGGACTACAGGCGCGTGCCACCACACCTGGCTGAATTTTTGTATTTTTAGTAGAGACGGGGTTTCACCATGTTAGCCAGGATGGTCTTGATCTCCTAACCTAATAATCTGCCTGCTTCGGCCTCCCAGAGTGCTGGGATTACAGGCATGAGCCACCACGCCCAGCCCACATTCTTTTTGTAATCTCTGACATCTGTTTTCCCTGCTGGATTAGAAGCTCCATGAAAGCCAGGACTGTCTGGGACCCAGGAGGTACCCAGTAAGTATCTGTGGGACGACAACACCTGATAAGGACCAGGGGTGGGAGGTGAAGTGGGCTCTGAGTGGATGATTCACTGTCTTGGCCTTTACGTAGCGCCTGGGTTTGTGCGCCCACCTCTGAGCTTGTCAGGGATGGATAATGCAGTCTACCCTGAGGCTGAGCCAACCAAGGCTTCATTGATGCTGCTGTCTTTTTTTAAATTTATTTTTTTTTGGAGACAGGGTGCCCCATGCTGGAGTGCAGTGGTATTATGATCACGGTTTACCTCAAACTCCTGGGCTCAAGCAATCCTCCTACCTCAGCCTCCTGAGTAGCTGAGACTGCAGACATGCGCCCCCAAGCCCCAGCTATTTTTGTATTTTTAGTAGAGGTGAGGTCTCACTATGTTGCCCAGACTGGTCTCGAACTCCTGAGCTCAAGTGATCTTCCCATCTCAGCCTCCCAAAGTTCTGGGATTACAGGTCTGAGCCACCACCCGGCCTGTCTCTGCCTTTTTTCTACCCCCACCCGGGGCTTTCTGCAAGCAAGACACAGCTATGCAAACAGACTGCAAGACAGGCCTTTCTGTGTAGCCCTGACTTGTACCACAGTACGAGGTAAGCCCTTTGACAAGAATCTACAGGGAACACTGACATTTGGGGGGCCAACTGCAGCTGTCACTCTGCCCCTCCCCCACCTCTTGACAAGGATCCACTGGAGACCCACTCCTGGCAGGAAGACATTCTAGTTCATTCAAATGGACTGTCTTCCCAAAAAAGCAAGGCATCTGTTTCCACAGAGGCATTTCCCCCCTAAATACTGGATAAAGAGCCAAGAGGCTGGGGACTGAATTATCACTTAATAGTCAGGTGGAGTTTCTTATTTCAGTTCCATAATCAATTTCCTCACCACAAAAGATAGTTAATGGACACAGAAGATTTGACAATTCATATGAAAATCATCATAACCACAACTGCTACTCATTATAGCCCATTTTTTTCCCCTGGGTTTCTGAGAACAGATGAGAAGAAAAAGGTTGTGTGTGCATTCCCCCCACTGCCCTCTTTAAAGTGTAAAGCCAAGAGAGCTCGCAAAGAATGCCCTCCTTCCCACAGTCACCGAAACTTTTCCATTTGATGAACCGTCTCCATCGGCTGGTGGTGACTGTGAAGCCAAGCGGCCAGCAGGAGCAGCTCAAAGCTGGAGGCTGCAATTCCAGGGAGTCTCGAGCGATCCACCTGGCCACTGCACAAGCTATGGCTTCACTCACTGAGTGGGGCCCCCAAGAAACGGCTTTGCTTCCTTCAGTGCTGCCCTGCTGCCTGACAAGGATCCCACCTGTCAGCACTGGGAAAGCCAGAAGCAGAGAAGATCTCCTAATAATTGACATCTGGGTTGCTCACCTCCAGTGCCCAGTTCTATCAAGAGGCCCCTGCTCCTGAGCACTTGGGCCGAAATCTTCATTCTCCTCCCCGCCTTTTTTTGAGATGGGGTCTCACTCTGTCACCCAGGCTGAAGTGCAGTGGTGTGATCTCGGCTCACTGCAACCTCCACCTCCCAGGTTCAAGTGATTCTCCTGCTTCAGCCTCCTGAATAGATGAGATTACAGGCATCCGCCACCACACCCAGCTAATTTTTTAAGTTTTTAGTGGAGAGGGGGGTTTCACCATGTTGGCCAGGCTGGTCTCGAACTCCTGACCTCAGATGATCCGCCCGCCTTGGCCTCCCAAAGTGCTGGGATTACAGGTGTGAGCCACCGTACCTGGCCTTCCCCCCTTTTTAGGTTATTTTTCTTCTTTTTAATTTTTTTTCTCTTTTGCCAAATTACTTCTCACACCTGAGAGAAGGGCTGAACTCTTCAGAGGCTGAGTTCACAGGGTTTTTAGGGCAAGGGGGAAAGGAAATGGGAGACTTTTTAGTCAAGCTGTCCTTTTTCTGTTTCGAGTTGCATTAGGGCATGGTGGCTAAAAGGAGGATTTGAGAGCCTGATGGTTTGAGTTCCAGTCTCAGCTCTAGCAGTTCCTGTGTGGCTTTGGGCAAATAATTTATTTTGACTCAGTTTCCTCATCTGTACAGCGGGAATAACAGATTACAGTAATCTCCATGGAAAGTTGTGTGGACTGAGTGAGTTAATATCACTGCTCCCAAGGCCTAAACGAGGGGAAAAGGAGAATGTCATTAAACATCCCCATGTGCGTTGAGAGAGCCAGGAAAGGGGGTGGGGAGAGGAGGTGACATTTAACCAGGGACAGTCCAAGGGTGCCCACCTCATCCTCTGGATTTCCAGCCAGAGGACATCTCTGTTGCCTGAGTACCACAAATGGGGTGAGGAAACAGGAGTGGAAGGAATTGAAAAGATGTAATGATCCACAGGGTATCTCTCCCAAGAGTCCAGGTTTGAGATGATGACCCAGCAGGACTGTTTTGCATTTCCCACATCCAGAGCTCCAATGCTGATAATTTATTGTTATTATTAAAAGACTAGCTGGCCATGATGGCTCAAGCCTGTAATCACAGCGCTTTGGGAAGCCAAGGCAGGAGGATCGCTTGAGCCCAGGAAATCAAGACCAGCCTGGGCAAGATGGCGAGACCCCCATCTCAATTTTCTTCAGAAGTTAACAAGATAATCCCCATCTTGTATTCACCTTTAGATAGAATGTAAAATTGGTTACCTTTTCATTCTAACATGTAAATGTTTCCCCCCTTCATCATCACTGAACCATATCAAGAATTTAGAATCTAAGGCTGAGTTTAAGTCAGAAACAGGCCACAGTCCCCAAGAGCTGCTGGGAACAGCTGGACTCTTCTGAAGGGTCTGTGAAAGTTCCACACATTGATTGAGCCTCCTGGCCCCTTGTTTGCTTCAACAAATGAAAGAAGCAAAATGCAGAAGCTGCGAGGAGATGGCTCGGGCCCTGCGTTGGAAATCTCTCTCCATGGCCACTGCCCACCTCAACTGTGCTATGGAGTTCCCCTCACTTCTGGGGCCCACAACAACTGCACAGAAGAGTGGGCTTTTGCCTTTTATAAATAAAGTCAAGATTCGGTCATGCTTGTGATGAGGCCTTCTGCCGCAGATCTGTGAAGTGCCTCTGGGTCACCCCTGAGTCAGACCTAGCCACACCCTCCTGATCTAAGGCCTTATCACTGAACCAAGAAGGCAGGAGGGTGGGAGCAAGGGGCCAGGAGGACAGCCAGTTCCCACCACGAGGACACCCAGACTACTCTAGGACTCCGGAAATCGTGGGGTCTGAGCTTTACATGAGATAGTGGCTGAAGGGAGCTTGGCACACAGTATCTGACACGCAGCCACAGGAGGGGCAGGGAGGTTGGTGATCCAGCACTTACCTCATCCTTGTCACGCGCCCCTGTATGTACCACCCCACTGAGCTGAGTGGCTGCTGGACCATGGCATTTTTGCCCGGCGATGGAGGGGGGTGGCTGAAGGAGTAGGAATGCTGTCAGAAAGTTCTAGAATAGTTGTAACTGCATTAACTCTGAGGGAAGAAGAGGCATTGGTATCCTAGGGGAGAAGAGGATTGTGGGGAAAAGAATGACCAGGTGGGGTCTTCCTGGTGTAAGGGTGTATGACAGATCTAACTAATCACCACAGGATGATGTCTCCTGGGCACTTATGTGGCATCAAGCTAAGTGGCTCATGCGGGCATTGCCTCAGCTAATCCTCAAAGTCTACAGGACAGGCACAGTCCTTGTCTTCATTTTCCAGAACAGGGAGCTGAACCTTAGAGAAGTCCAACAACTTAACCCAGTCACAGCTAGGCGGGAGGTAACCTAATGAGGACTTCACCTCAGGCCGGGCCTGAGGTAAACCAAAGCTGGGAGGAAGCTGGGTGTCTCTTGTGACAGGACCTCTCCCCTCCACAGCCCTGCCCACCTCACTGACAGTCCGAATCTGGGAGCCTGATAAGGAGGCTGAGGACTCCAGGAGGAAATGCCTGCCAGTGGAACTTTCTACCTTCCAAAGATCATCACACCCAAGATAACCATGGCTTCTTAAGAACACTGTAGGTGGGGAGAGGGTTCTTTATCTCTACACTGACCAGCAAAGAGACGTGTGAGAACAAGCAACCCATTTCAAATCTTGCTTCTGCACAAGGACTAGAGACTAGCCTGTTGACCTCTGGCAAATATATATATATATTTTAGATGGAGTCTCGCTCTGTCGCCCAGCCTGGAGTGCAGTGGCATGATCTTAGCTCACTTGAACTCCGCCTCCTGGGTTCAAGTGATTCTCCTGCCTCAGCCTCTTGAGTAGCTGGGATTACAGGCGTGAGCCACCACGCCCAGCCTCTGGCAAATCTCTTAACCCTACTAAACCCCACATTCCTCATCCATAACCCTGCCCCTCCTCCAACAACAGAAATCACTGACACTGCAAGCACCCTTGCTCCTGACATCCCACTTGATATCACCTTTGATCCGCAAGGATAATCCTAGAAAATATGTCCTAGTCTTACGCGATTTTACAGATTTATTATCTATCTGTGAAAATGGGAACAACAATATTGATTCTCTTAACTTTCTTGAAGAGTCAATGAGATCATTTACGGAATGTGCTTGGCACAGACTCAGTGAAAGATAAAAGCTTGAAGCCTATGGTTAGACCTAAGGTCAGCCACCCACCCAGACCCAGGACCAAGCCCTGAATGTCTAGAGCACGGTTCTTCGCAGACACACCCCAGCCCTGGGTATCAGCGTGGTGACTCAGCAGAGGGCATTCCACAGGCTTATAAAAAAGTTGTCTGGGAAAGCCCCACCTGACTGTGGCCAAGATCCCTCAGTACTCTAGAAGAGCAGGGGACCTGTCTGGAGAAAGGATAGGAATTTGAAGCTTTGTCTCTGAAGTCCAGAACTGCAAAACAGCCCCCCGCTGAAATTCACAAACCACTGTTTCCTTCAGTGCCTGTCCCAAGCTAGGCCCTGTGCTAGCCCTGGAGATAGAAAAGAGACTTGGTTCCCTTAGCAGCCAGCCTGGACTCAGCAGGCCAAACCTTCCCCAGGAGGGGGATGCTGACCTCTGGAGATGTTGCTGCTGACCAAGGGAGGTAATTGTTTCTTTAAAAAAAAAAAAATCACTTTCAGTTGTTAAATGAATAAACCACTCTAAAACACTTAGGAGATAAGAAGGCAATCTATCAGGACTCCCCTGACCTTTGAAAACTCAAAGTGAAAATGGAAGCAGGCCCAGGCTGACCGATAGTGGGAAAAGCAGATCAGCAGCAGTTTCACCACAATACAAAGAGACTGAAAACCCTGCACATTTTTAGCATGTGACTAGAATAATCCACATCAGGGCCCCTAGCACAAAATGCAGGACAATAAAATACGCAGAAAAACAGGGATATCTCATTGTAACTGAACGAGCACTTACTTGCTGCCTGCATTAAGCCTTTTATGAAGATCATTTCATTTAATTTCATTTACTCTTCCCCATGGTGAATAAGAGCTGGGCTTAGAGTTGTTGGCCTGGATTGTTCTAAATATTCACTCTCCCAACCCCCAATGTACTCGCTGTTTGACTTTGGGCACTTTGCTTAACTGCTTTAGGCCTCAATGTCCTCATCTATCAAACTGCGATTCTAGGGTCCCTTATAAGATTGTTGTAATCCCAGCACTTTGGGAGACCGAGGAGGGTGGATCACTTGAGCCCAGGAGTTCGAGACCAGCTTGGGTTACATGGCAAAACCACGTCTCTACCAAAAATACAAAAATTAGCCAGGCTTGGTAGTGTGTGCCTGTGGTTCCAGCTACTCTGGAGGCTGAAGTGGATGGATCGCCTGAGCCCGGGAAGTCAAGGCTGGATTAAGCAGAGATCACGCCAGTGCACTCCAGTCTGGATGACAGAGTGAGAACCTGTCTCAAAAAATTTTCAAAAAAAGAAAAAGATTGTTTTAAACACTAAATGAATAAATCTCCATAAAGCACTTGCCTTAGGATCTGGAACACAAGTCCTCCATAAATGCTGGCTACTATTATTATAATGGCTGATAACAGCCTCTGACTGACACATGCCTCATCTCTGTCTCACATACATTAAAACCAAAACTTCCAAGGTCAGAAGGGCTCAGGTTCAGCACCGTTTCCTCTCCAGGCTGCTGTGATATGCCTACCCCACCACACTGCCACCCTGGCGAGAGCTGAGGACCAGCACAGCCTCCTCCCCACTGAACTTTCCTTGCAGGCAGAGGGCTTTGGATTCTTTGGTTTTCCTCATGGAGGAAATCACCCCCTACAGCAAACCACCCAGGACCAGGTATCCACTTCCGGCATCTTTCTATGGAAGCCGACTGCAGACCAGTCTCAGGCAGTGCTTGGCTGTGCAAGTCCTGAGGCCTAATTCTCAATTATCTGAGGTGTGGAGACACCTGCGGCACTCACCAGACTAACTGGGTCTGGCATAGCAATTGATCTCTAGTTGTGTTGATTTTTGTGGATTTGCTTTTCTCCTCTGATCCAGATGAGGTGAGGGAAGGCATGAGATGAGCAGGAGCTGGTGTCTGGGTGGCTCACGGGGCTGCCACCTTCCAGACCACGGCACAGCCTGCTTCTGGGGCTCATACACTCTGATGTACCCTGGGGTCCCTTCCAAAGCATGGTGTTTCACAATGAAGGGAAATGGAAGCTCTTTGGTGGGCTGCTGCTTCCACACTGAGCACCAGTAGAGGTGAAAAGCCCATCTCACCAGCTCCAATCCAAAGCTGTCCCCAAAGTATCAGGAGCCACTGTGCTGTTCTAGACTAAATGGTAAACTGAGTAATAAACCCAGGCCTTGAAGCTGCAGCCACGGAAACACATGGGCCCCAGCAGGGGAGAGAGGCCCTCCTCATCCTGGGGCCACAAATATCTGTCACTCAGGGACTGGCTTTGCTGCCAGCTTCTAAAACGTTCAGGCCAATGCCTGGCACAAGCCCCTATAAGGATATGAGGGGCGTGGGGCCTGCTGGATCAGCCAGGAGACACACCTCTCATTCCTTTTCTCTCTTCCTAAAAGACAATTCTATTCAAAGGGAGACTCTTCTGCTGAACAAAAAAGTAACAACAAAATCCCCTCAGGCAATTCTGTGGGTTTCCTAAACCCACAGAGTTCAACAAAATTGGCCAAGGTTGGATAGGTTCTTATCCAAACTTCGATACAAGGGCTTTTTTGTTTGGTTTTAAAATGACAAATCTTGGGCTGGGTGTGGTGGCTCACGCCTGTAATCCCAGCACTTTGGGAGGCCGAGGCAGGTGGATCATCTGAGGTTGGGAGTTCGAGACCAGCCTGACCAACATGGAGAAACTCTGTCTTTACTAAAAATACAAAATTAGCTGGGCGTAATGGTGCATGCCTGTAATCCCAGCTACTTGGGAGGCTTAGGCAGGAGAATCGCTTGAACCCAGGAGGTGGAGGTTGCAGTGAGCCGAGATCGCACCATTGCACTCCAGCCTGGGCAATAAGAGTGAAACTCCATCTCAAAAAAAAAAAAAAAAAAAAAAAAAAGACAAATCTTGTCTCCCTGGACCTTTTTCTTGATATCTGTACTCTTCGCCATTTCAACTTGCTTTGAACCCTACCACAACAGAAAACCTCACATACTTCTTTAGGTGGTTTTTTCCAAAGTTCATACCTACACAAATGAGTTTCTTTGTATTGAGCCTCAGAATGCTCAACAAATCACTTTTTGCCAGAAGTTCCATTTCTTTTCTTTTTTTCTTTTTTCTTTTTTTTTTTTTTTTTGAGACAGAGTTTAACTCTTATCACCCAGGCTGGAGTACAATGGCATGATCTCGGCTCACCGCAACCTCTGTCTTCCGGGTTCAAGCAATTCTCCTGCCTCAGCCTCCCAAGTAGCTGGGATTACAGGCATGCACCAACATGCCCGGCTAATTTTGTATTTTTAGTAGAGACGGGGTTTCTCCATGTTGGTCAGGCTGGTCTTGAACTCCCAACCTCAGGTGATCCGCCCACCTCAGCCTCCCAAAGTGCTGGGATTACAGACGTGAGCCACTGCACCTGGCCCCCAGAAGTTCCATTTCTTAAGCTGGGCCAAGGCCTCTGGTGTGCAGCTGTCTTGGCCTGTTGGCTGGTGGAGCCACCGCTACAGGTTCCTCAGCTTAGTTCTCATGCCAGCACCACCCCCTCCCAAAGCTGCGAAGGAGGAATGCTGGAGACAGCTGGTCCCTGACTTATGATGTTTGACTTTACAGTGGTGGGAAAGCCATACACATTCAGTAGCAGCAGTACTTCAAGTACCCACACCACCATTCTGTGTTTCACTTTCAGTAATCAATAAGTTACATGAGATATTCAACACTTTATTATAACATAGGTTTTGGGTTAGATGATCTTGTCCAATTGTAGGCTAATGTAAGTGTTCTGAGCATGTTTAAGGTAAGCTAGGCTAAGCTATGACGTTCAGTAGGTTAGGTGTATTAAGTGCATTTTGATTTATATTTTCAATTTACAATGGGCTTATCTGGACATAACCCCATCTTAAGTCAAGGAGCATCTGTACATGTATTGAGGAGTCAAGGCCCAGCCAGGGCCAAAATGCAGGCCAAGAAATCTTAGCAAACCAATGACACCACCAATTATAGCAATAGCTGATACAGATTGTGCATTGACTACAAATCAGATACTCTGCTAAGCACTTCACATGTACCATTTCATTTAAACCTCCTATGAGAAAACATTTAAACAACTCTATGAGAAAAGTAATTATCGGCACCATTTTGTACATGAGGAAATCGGTTCAGAGGCATAAAGGAGAAAGACACATATCTGTTGGGCATTTATGTCTTAACTCGAGGAAGAAGGCATGTATATGCTGTGTATTACACAAGCACAGGGAGAAAGAATAGCTACACCTGGTGGGCAAGGTCCTTGCTCAGCTTATGGATCCACTGTGGGAAAACCCAAAGGGAACACCAGGTAGCAATCATTCAATTTACTTATCTATAATTTTTCTTAAAAAAAAAAAAAAAAAAAAAAAAAACAGGGTCTTGCCCTGTCACCCAGGCTGGAGTGCAATGGCACAATCATAGCTCACTGCAGCCTTTGGGCTCAAGTGATCCTCCCACCTTAGCCTCTCCAGTAGCTAGGGGAGGCTTGCACCATCATGCCCAGCACATTTTTAATTTTTTTGTAGAGGGTGGGGGATCTCATTTGTAGCCCAGGCTGGTCTCAAGCTCCTGGCCTCAAGTGATCCTCCCATCTCAGCCTCCAAAAGTGCTAGGTATGAGCCACTGTACCTGGCCTCTGTTCATTTTTTAAAGGGTTAACTACCAGTTTCCTATTAAACAAACAAACAAACAAACAAAAAAAACCCTTCCTTACTACCTTTAATTATGACTTCATTTCCATTCTACATTCCTAGAAACCAGGAAGGCTATTACTGAAAGTAGGAATTTAAAAAGCAGAAAGTAAAGTGGATTACAGCCTGATCCATTTCAGGGGTGATTCTGCCTTCAGAGGAAAACCAAAGGTACTGTTTGGGCCTTTGATGTGGTCATAACACCCTCCCCTCAGCTTCCTTAAGAACGTAAAACAAGTTAATTAGTTCACAAGTGTGGTTTTCATAAGTGAACACAAACATACAACTTTTCAAAGCAGGACACATTGAGGTTGTGGGTATTTCAACTGCCAAATCTATGGGAGCAGTCACAATCTGATGTCTAGTAAATACAGGAAAACTATCACACACTGCATAAAGGCATACCACAGCCGGGCGCGGTGGCTCACGCCTGTAATCCCAGCACTTTGGGAGGCCAAGGCGGGCCGATCACCTGAGGTAGGGAATGCAAGACCAGCCTGACCAAAATGGAGAAACCCTGTTTCTACTAAAAATACAAAATTAGCCGGGCGTGGTGGCACATGCTGTAATCCCAGCTACTCAGGAGGCTGAGGCAAGAGATTCGCTTGAACCAGGGAGGCAGAGGTTGCAGTGAGCCGGGATCGTGCCATTGCACTCTAGCCTGGGCAACAAGAGCGAAACTCTGTCTCAAACAAACAAACAAAATGAAAGACACTCGCAACATGAATTTGCAAGTGGTCATGACTTGCACCCTCGTGAATGCGCAGCCTTGAGGGGAGCTGGGGTCAATGGGACCACCACTGAATCAATGACTGAAGCTCATGCCTTTAAGGACAAGCTTCAGAATCTGGCCCTGAACTGCAACTGTGGTCAGTGTAGGACGATATATGTATTAATGAAAAAGTTGGCAAGAAGTGGTGAAATAATAGCTTCACATAAAAATATCCAGAGCTGGCTGCAGGTTCTACAAAAGCAACAGCCGTAAAGTAGCTTTGACAAGAATATCCCCACCAAGGCTTCTCAAATAGTAGAAAGCACTTGGGGAATATCCTCTAGTACAATAGGGCCTAGAATGTTTACAAGAGGGCAGGCCTCCTGGCAGGTCATTTCATGACCTTCCAGAAAGGGGGAGGTCATTTGAGCTTGACCCCACTACCCCACTTGAACATCTAACTCGGAGCTTTGTCCCAGTTAAGTAAATATATGAAATGTCTTTTCTTTGTTGTTAGAGTCTTGCTCTGTTGCCGAGGCTGGAGTGCCGTGGTGTAATCACAGCTTACTGCAGCCTTGAACTCCTGGGTTCAAGTGATCCTCCTGCCACAGCTTCTGAGTGGCTGGGACTACAGATGTGCCACCATGCCTAGCTAAGTAAATATTTCTTCAGCATCCATCACTCTATAACATCAGGAGGGCTGAAGAAGCCCAGTTCACAGTCCTGTTCTCACAAAGCTTGTGGCCTGGCTGTGAAATGAGACCTTGCTGGTATAGAGTGGTCTACATGGCTCTGGCAGAATAACCCCAATGGTGCTCAGTGACTATAAAAGCATCCCTGGGGATCTGGTGACACCTTGAGCTGGTCCTGGAAGATAGAGCTGGGAAACTCAGGCAAAGATTGATAGGAGTTGGGATTCTAGGGAGGAGCCAAGGCAGAAAAGCACAAGCTGCCTTGGAACTGAAAGAACAGGGGTCTTGGAGAGCTGGGTGTTCTAAGAGCACAGAGGAGGGAAGGCTGGCAAGGTAGATGGAGGCTGAGGGTATCTAGGCATTAAGGACCTTGTATCTTCTGGCAATAAGTAGACATTGAAGGTTTCAGTGCAAGAGCAGGGGCAAATGAAGACTCCCCAGTTCTTCTTAAGGGGCCATAAGAGTCCTCTAGTACAACCAGACTGCAATCTGTAGGGCCAGGGAATCATCCCCAGCACCCATGAAGATGTCTGGCATGTAGTGCATATGCAATAAATACTTGCTCAACAAAGTGACGATAAATGTGAATCTTGAAATCTCTTCCTTCCTTGCCCAAATAGCTTAGTTTCTCATGGGAGAAAACAAGTGGAATTTATTGACATCAAATGGCAGGGTTGTGGCCAACTGCAACAATTTTTCAAACAAACCCTAGGATAAGCTTTCTGCAGAAACAGAGATAAAACTTCATCCTGAAAGAGGAGCGATGCATGTGGAAAGTGAACAGACATGGCAGAAAGACGCTTCATCATTCTAGTCTCCAGAGCAATTCCTCCCAATCCTCAGAAGCCTTCACTAAGTTTCCCTCCCTGAGAGAGAGAGCACCAACCCCAAACTTCTTTCTGCGGCTACAAATGCTCTGCTCCCTCTAATAAAGCTAAAGTTGCCATTACTGAGATCCTACCAGGTGTGTAAGGCACTTTGCAAATTACCTTCTGCCTATTTAATCCTCAGAATAACTAGGGGGGTAGAAACCATCATTGCCATTTTACATATGAGAAAACCGAGGTTCAGAGAGGTTAAGTAACTTGCCCAAGGAAGCACAGCTAGTTAAAGGCAAAGCAAGACTCACATCCAGGTCTGTCTGCCATCAAACATGTGTTTTTACCCCTATATTTACTCCTCCTTCTGATCTCTCAGGCTACACCCATGGAGTTGGCAGGTAGAAGCTGGTGGGCTAAGAGATAAATCTTCTACCCTGGCTTCTTAATAGGGGCTGGCCTGGCTGTTGTAAAGGGGAAGTAGGAGGAGCCTCTCAGAGGCAAGGAGAATGGCTCCTCCCATATTCTGTGACAACCAACACCAAAATAGAGCGGGTGAGGCTGCCCATGGGCGTGGGCTCTGCACCCTGATTTCAGAGGGCATCACTCAGCTGTGAATCATGCCTTAGTGACAGGCAAGGAGCCTGCTCAGACAGCGCTGACACTGATTCTGCTCTGGCTGAGTGACAGCCCCAGGGGAAGAGGCGGGGCTCATCTCCAAAGGGGGACCACACAGAGAAATACAGCCAGAAACACAGCTCCCGACACTGTCTCAGGCACCAGTGAAATGCTAGGGTGGCTGGCTCTGTTAAAGGGACCCTGTCCTCCTCCTTCCCCTGGGCCAACTGTTGACCGGTGTCCATGCCATGCCCAGCAGGATGTCAGCTATGCTGGGGGAAGCCGCGCACTCTCTGAGCTATAAGAGAGTACATGGAGGGTTCTTTACTTTCTCTCATTATCTGACGTGCATTTGTGTAAGACTCCTGAACTTTTTTTTATTTGCTGGGACCAGGTGCAATGCAAAAAGGTGAGTATGTTCTTCAAGTCAGAGCACTACACAGATATAAGGAATTACAGTAAAGAAAGTTAAAATGGAGTGGAGGACACAACTGTTCCTCAGGAAACAACTAAAGCAGAATGTGAGGCTATCTACAGAGACATGAGGAGTGATTCACCGCAGACTAAAAAAACAGGAGCTTGAACGATAGAAAAAGATCCAAATCATTCCTGGTATTGTTTTCCTCTTGTGCTCACTGGAAATCTGCAGCCAGTGGAGGAGACTTTCCTCACCCAGTCCCATCCTGGGAGTCACAGTGTTTAGGGCACTCAGGGATCTAAGCTGCCAAAGTCAGCCCCACCCCACTCCCATCCCCTCCACCCAGGGGCTTGCAATCCCAGGGAAGAGGAGAGTTTCATGAAAGCTGCAAAACTCACAGCAAGGCCCGGATGGTGGTTCGGAGTTCATGCTCCAGGGGTTCATGAGGCTGAGCTGAAAGGAAGTCACCTGACACAGCATGAGCCCCCACACCAGAGCTGGCCAGAGCCCCACGACTCCATGCCTGGGAAAGCCGTGGCAGGAGTGACAGCGAGGAGGCCAGATGCACGAGCCTCTTCCTGAACCATCGCATCTCCCCACTTCCTATCAGCCTTTTCTTTGGACTGGCCCCATCTCTTCCCTGGCTTGGGGCTGACTTCCCTTTAGGAATAGGTGTCTTTGGAGCATCCAGGCAGCTGATAATGACCACTGCTTAACCAGCCCTCCTCAGTCACAGGGGGAGAGTGCCATCTGGACATCATGACCTCCCCACCACCGCTGGGCATGACCCTAAGAGAAAGACTAGATTCCTAACCTGTGCTAGGGCATCTCCTGTGCCACTCCCCCAACCCTCCAACCTGCCTGAAAGAGAGGAGAGCAGGGAGAGAGAATGGGGGGAAGGGTGGGGCCAGGAGGGGGATTGGGAGACAGCCTCCTGGTCCTGGTCCAGCACCTTCCTGAGGCTTAGAAGCTCTCCTGCCCTGGGGCTCCCCTACTTCAAATAATCCTCTCCTGTCTTATTTTCCACCTTCTACTCAAACATGTTTTTATAACGTGCAACCACCAGAGACCTCCCTAACCTAGTACCAGGGCCAACTGGACTCCCAGCTGGGCCAGAGGAGGCTGGGGGACCTCCTGGGAGCTTGGACACCTGGGCCTCTCCTGCCCAACCCAGGTGGCTGTCACCTGGCCTGCACATGGCTCAGGGCCCGATTCCACCCCTCCACCCCCAGGAGGAAGAGCTGCTTTGGCAGCTGCCCTTGGTGGAGAAACCTACGTGTGCTAGCCCCTAGGTCCCCTCTTCTGTTTTCCAGCAAATCCCCATCTCCACCTGGGAAAGGCTCAGTCCAAGTGATCTCCTCAATGCTCCTCCCAGAGGATGGCAAGGCTGCTCTATGCCACACCAGAAGCCCCAGCTCCTCCAGGTGGAAAGCACAGGAGAGTCTGGGAGAATCTCCACCCCCTTCTCCCATCTCACACCCGTCCCTGGGTCACTTGCCATCTCCACAGGCCCAGAGGCCTCACCTGGGCCAGAAGACACACTAGAGGCCTGGGATTCTTCTCTCTTCTTCCTTCAGAGTGACAGGGAGCACTGTTCATGTCGGCAACTCCTGTGGCCCCTGCCCTGTTGCAGACAGACCTGCACAGCTCTGAGAAGCCAGCCCCACTCATTAAATTAATTAAATTCCTGCTTTCAAGGCTGGGCACAGTGGCTCATGCCTGTAATCCCAGCACTTTGGGAGGCCAAAGCGGGCAGATCACAAGATCAGGAGTTCAAGACCAGCCTGGCCAGCATAGTGAAACCTCATCTTTACTAAAAATACAAAAATTAGCCAGGCATGGTGGCACACTCTTGTAATCCCAGCTACTCGGGAGGCTGAGGCAGGAGAATCCCTTGACCCCGGGAGGCGGAGGTTGCAGTGAGCAGAGAACGTGCCACTGCACTCCAGTCTGCGCAATAGAGCGAGATTCCGTCTCAAAAAAAAAAAAAAAATTTTTTTTTCAGGGGAACCTACCAGGGAGCCACAGAGGAAGCAAAATGTCTGTAGTTATTGCTGCTTTTTCCTGCCTGGGCACAGTGTCCTCTCCTCCTTCATTACCTGCTGGAAGGGAGCAAAACTCTTCATTCTCCCAAGGAAGGGATCTTTCTCTGGTATGCAGGGCACTGAAGAGAAAACTTCCTTGTTTGGCCCTTGAGCTTAAAACTACCATGTCCCCCTCTCCAATCCTCCCTCAGTGAAGTTCGTGGGTCTCTCCCCAGGTGGACCGTGAGAGCACTGGCCATGTAGATTTGTAGTTTCCTATGTGGTACAGCAGTGGCAGTGTAACAGTACCCACAGCTTAATAAGTCATGACTTAAACGACTTAAGTCACTTGAGCACTTATCAAGGCCAGATACTGAGTCAAATGCTTTGCAGACACTATTTTATTAAATCCTCACAACAACACCATAAGGAAGGTATTATTACCCCCATTTGTACTGCAGAATCTCTTCCATGACTGTAAACTCATAAACTCGTGTTCTTTCTGACACCGAGAAATAAAGGGAAGCTTTTTGATTTTTTTTTGAGACAGACTTTCACTTTATCACTCAGGCTGGAGTGCAGTGGCATGATCACAGCTCACTGCAGCCTCAACCTCCCAGGCTTAAGCGATCCTACCACCTCAGCCTCCCAAGTAGCTGGGACTACAGGCATGTGCCACCACACCTGGCTAATTTTTGTATTTTCTTTTTTTGTAGAGAGGAAGTTTCATCATATTTCCCAGACCGGTCTCAAATCCTGGGCTCAAGTGATCCTCCCACCTCAGCCTCCCAAAGTAATGGGATTTGAGAGCCACCGTGCTCGGCCAATGGAAGCTTTTATTAAAACCTGTTTCCTTACATTCATGTATGGTGGTACTGCTGAATATGGTAGCCACTAGCCACATGTGGTTTTTGGGCACTTAAAATAAGGCCAGTGAATATTAGAAACTTTTTTTTTTTTTTTTTTTGAGACAGAGTCTTGCTCTATCGCCCAGGCTGGAGTGCAGTGGTATGATCTCGGCTCACTGCAACCTCTACCTCCCAGGTTCAAGCGATTCTCCTGCCTCAGCCTCCCGAGTAGCTGGAATTATAGGCACTTGCCACCACACCTGGCTAATTTTTGTATTTTTAATAGAGACAGTGTTTCCACCATGTTGGCCAGGCTGGTCTCAAACTCCTGACCTCAAGTGATCTGCCAGCCTCACACCTCTGAGATTACAGGTGCGAGCTACCATGCCCAGCCCTGATTTTATTTTAATTAATTTAAATGTAAATAGCCACATATGGTTAGTGGGTACTATACCGGACAACAAAGGCATAAAGCCAAATTTTGCACAAATTACTTCCATCCATACCATATCATTCAATGTTCACAACAAGCAAACAGAGCACATTTATGCCATTTACAGATGAGAAAACTGAAATTCAGAGATCTGGCTCAAGCTGAATCGGATTAAGCACTTCACTCTCTAAACTCCTAAACTATTTCCATTGTGTGATCTTCTCCTAAACTTGACCTCTAGCCTAAGGGCCTAGAGTAATTGTCCTGCCCAGGAGCCCTATCAGGATCCACATCACTTTCTCACCTTTCCCCTCAACTCTGGGAAGTAAAAGGAAGGAATGCACCCAGCAGAGAACGGTACAGACAGCCCATGGCAGGGATCTCCTCAGATCAAAAAGGACAAGGTGCTCAGGATTCAAAATCCTTTAAGCTGCTCCATGGTTCTAAGTTATATTTCTAAAAATTAGAAAAGTGAGTCAGAAATTAAAAACTTCTTTTTTTTTTTTTGAGACACAGTCTCGCTCTGTTGCGCAGGCTGGAGTGTAGTGGCACAATCTCAGTTCACTGCAACCTCAAGCGATTTCAACTTCAACTCAAGTTCAACTTCAACTTCAAGCAATTCTTGTGTCTCAGCCTCCCAAGTAGCTGGGACTACAGGTACGTGCCACCACACTTGGCTAATTTTTATATTTTTGTAGAGACAGGGTTTCACCATGTTGCCCAGGCTGGTCTTGAACTGCTGAGCTCAAGTGATCCGCACGCCTCGGCCTCCCAAAGTGCTGGGATTACAGGCGTGAGCCACCAGGCCCGCCCAGAAATTAAATACATTTTTTTTCCCCTCCTCTACCGGTCTTATCCGAGGAGCCATAAAAATAGAGGGGGAGAAATGTGATCCCACAATGGCCTCAAGGACATTCCAAATGTCTTCTTAAGTAAAACCCAACTCCTGATCATTTCCTTTCGGGCATCACTACCCAGCCCAGTTTTCAGGACATCAGCATTCAGTCCAAAATGGTGCAGAACCCACTAGGTGGAGATTAAGTCCTCACAAAACACCCTGGCACTAGCCCAACACCTATTTCTGTTCCTGCGTAAAATCCAACCAAAGAGTCTCAGCAACTGTGTTGTCCACACTGCCGTCGGTTTTATCATCTACTTGTGGGGGGTGGGGCGGGGGGCACCTAGAGACAAATAAATCACACGAGGAACAGTCAGATGGAAAACATAAACTTAATAAAACACAGACAGAAAATAAACCACTGGCCCAGCCACTAGTGACCAGTGCAATGTTGTCTTTCTCCCCCCTCCCTTCTGGTCCCTGGTGAATGCCCCCTAATTCTGGGAAAGGCTCCCTTTCGTCTTCTGAGTCAGTCTTGAAGGAATACTGCAGTATTTCAGCCTTGGGTTTCTAGCAGAGAAACAAACCCGGTTTTGTCATATAATTTTCTGCACCTCCACTGAAATAACACATCATTTGTGGATCCGTGCTAAAGCAAACACCATATGGTGGCTGTGTAAAAAGCTGTCCGGGGTTCTGACCTTCCAGTTGTAGGGGGTTTGTTTGGGAAAAGAAGCCAGGGTTGGGGGAGAATCAAGTCGCTAATGAGACATGGTGTCGGCAACCTGTACAGTGTGACATTTGGGGGCTTGGTGGAGGACGAGGTTGGTGTCAGGTTCCAAACACTCAAGGCAAAATCACCAATGACTTTTTTGTTTCCCAAGTGAAAAATGGTTCATGAAGTCTATTTTCCCAGTCTCTTATCTCAACACTCACGCTCTTTCACTCCGGAGGGGACGGACGGAGAGCCACAGGCTAACCAAGAGGAAAATTACAACCTAAAAAATCTTGCTGGCAAATTCTCCGTTTTGTGGACTGTCATGGCTGTGCAGCTGCAAGGATGAGACAGAGTTTGTCCTGTCTCTGGCCAGATTTCTTGAGTTGCTCTGAACTGCTACCCAACCAGGGCTCATCTACACACAGAGCCACTCATAGTAGTCAAATGCCTTCTGAGCAGCTTAGCTGGTAAAACACAAACTTATTTAAGAAATATTAAAGTTCTGAATATACAGTGCAACTTCATTATTCCTCACACATGAAATGACCCCAAGTGTTAGTACAAATAGCAGGTGGCCTATGGTCCGATGAAGTGGGCTTGTTATGAAGATAGGTCTTAATACCAACCTCTGAATTCTGACTTGTCCATTCAGAACACCATGGTGGAAAAAATGAAAAGAAAATGAACCCAAGAGCCACACGTGGCTCAGGAAGATGTGGCTCTATGGCAGCAGAGAAGGAAGAAAAAGCGACTGCAGCATTTAGAATTGGTACTTATCAAAAGCAACCCAGAGCGCCACATCTCCAGGAGGCCTCTAAGAGGTGAAGGTGGAGGAGAGTTTTTACACTAGAAACGGGCACAGAACCCAGCCAAGGAAAGAGAAGGCTTGCCATCATATACTCAGATGAATCAGGTAGCCTCTAGAACTTTCTGTAATGGTGACAGTGCTCTGTATCTGTGCTGTCCAACACAGTAGTCACTAACCCACACAATCATCGAGCATTTGAAATGCAGCTAATACGACTGAGGAGTGACTTCTTTTTTTTTGAGACAGGATTTCGCTCTGTTGCCCAGGCTGGAGTGCAGTGGTGCAAACATGGCTCACTGCAGCTTCGACCTCCTGGACTCAGGCATTGTCCTATGTCAGCCTCCTGAGTAGCTGGGGCTACAGGCGTACACCACCACATCTGGCTAATTTATTTTTATTTTCTGTAAAGATAGGGTCTTGCTATGTTGCCCAGAATGGTCTGAATGGTCTCAAACTCCTGGGCTCAAGCAATCCACCTACCTCACCCTCCCAAAGTATAGGGATTACAGGCGTGAGCCACTGCACCTGGCCTTGAGGAGATATTCTCTACCTAGGGGTTGTTAATAATCACATGGACCCACCTAATCCCTCCAAAGCACATCCCAATCAGTCACAGGCCATGCTACCCCAGTCTCCCTGAGTCCCCAGCCCAGAGTCCCTCAAGGAGGCAAGGCCCAGGCAGGGGCAGCAGAGCCTTCAGGCAGTTCTCTAATGACCCCTGCAACTCCACTGTCAGGACCCGCCTCAATAACTCCAATCTGTGTTGTCCCCATAGAAATCTCAGGATTAAGGGTCCCAGGGCATACTTTATGGATTGTGATGTTGGCCTATAAACTTTGTGTCACTGATCCCAACAGTTCTCCACTATTACTGTGTATCCCTCACAGGTTTTCCCCACAGGTCATTTGAATATGGAATGACAATTTACAAATATCTATCCCACTTCATTTTTTTTTCCCTTTAATCCTCACAGTGAGAGAGAGGTAAGAGGAGGTACCATCACACCTGTCTTACAGATGAGAAATACCCCTGTCAAAGATTTACAGAGATGGAATTAATGACACAATAGTAGACTGAAGACAATCCAGTGTTGCTCTAGGCAACTTATTTAACTTCTCAGTGTTTTGGTGCCATCTATCAAATGGAAACAGCAGTAGGAATTGCCTCTTAGAGTTGTGAGTTAAAATATGCACAGTCCTTAGAACTGTGCCTAGTGAGCACTACAGAAGTGCCTGCTCTTTTTTTTTTTTTTTTTTTTTTTGAGACGGAGTCTTGCTCTTGTTGCCTAGGCTGGAGTGCAGCAGGGCGATCTCAGCTGAATTCAACCTCCACCTCCTGGGCTCAAGCAGTTCTCCTGCCTCAGCCTCCTGAGTAAGGCACCTGCCACCATGCCCAGCTAATTTTTGTATTTTTAGTAGAGACGGGGTTTCACCATGTTGGCCAGGCTGGTCTCAAACTCCTGACCTCAGGTGATCTACCTGCCTCGGCCTCCCAAAGTGCTGGGATTAAAGGCGTGAGCCACTGTGCCCAGCCAGAAGTGCCTGCTCTTGTTAGGGAAGTGTAGTACATATGCGTGTGGTAGTGGTGGGGCATATCACTTTATATTTATATACCTGGTTGTTTTTCACCTGCTGTTCTGCTCACATTATGCTATGTGTGAGGATTGAACATTTATTTGCTTGGTGAAGTCTAAGTGTTCAATGTATGTTTGCTGCTATTGTTAATTCTTGCTGTTGTTACTGTTACTGTTGCAATTGTTCTTGGGGTCAGGCTTGTTAGCATTTTGGTCTAATAGCCCAGGTATGTCTCTCCACCCTAGTCCGCCCTCTGCTCTCTGCCTGTCCTCCACAGTGAGGTCATAAGCTCATGTGTCTGGCCTGGGCTTTTGCTAGTCAGCACCACCAAGTCTGAACGAGGCCTGGCAGGGCAGATCAAACAACTCTGGTTTGAATTAAGTGTGGTGATTTTATAGCAGGAATAAAGCAGGGAAGATAAGGGAGGAAATGTACCCAGCAACCCTAAGCTCTTAAAAGTAGTTTGGGGAATAGGTAAGAACCACCACAGAAACTTGCAAACGATGAACAGATTTTTGTTTTGTGGAGAATGAAGAGGAAATGCAGAACTCTATGGAAATTCTCCCCTACTCAGCTCCCCTCCTTCTCAGAAATAGTCAGGTATTCTCCTCTGGGTGATATAGAAGTTCAGCCTTTCCTTGACTTTCAGATCTGTGGGGTATCACTGTCTCTTTCTCTCCCTTTCAGCAGCTGGGATCTGGCCTGCAGCCTTAAAGAAAGGTGACCGGTTACATTAATCAGAAATATAACCTATCAATGGCGTTTCAAAACTGGCTGGATCACATTCATAGCTGTCCTCAAATGCTTAGCACCCCTAGAAAACTAGGACTAGTCAACAAATCCCAGAGACCTTCCCCTAAATAAACTTTATTATTATTATTATTTGAGACAGGGTCTCTGTTACCCAGGATGAAGCGTAGTGGCATAATCACAGCTCATTGCAGCCTCGACCTCCTGGGCTCCAGCAATCCTCCTACCTTAGCCTCCCGAGGAGCTGAGATCACAGGTGCACACCACCACACTTGGCTAATTTTTTATTGTATTTTTTCTAGAGGTGGGGTTTTGCCATGTTGCTCAGGCTGGTCTCAAACTCCTGGGCTCAAGCAATCTGCCTGCCTCGGCCTCTCAAAGTGCCAGGATTATAGGCATGAGCCATTACGCCTGGCCTAAATGAAAAAGAAAATCTCTGCTAAATGTAAAGTAAGGCTCTGGAATAATTGCTTTCCTGGGTGCCCTGCCTAAGTACAAAGAGGACAGAAGTGTACCCACCGTTCAGCGCTTGGAGGCTTCTCGCCATGAAATCCCCAAGGGCCCTGAGAGTCAATGAGGAACGTGATCAAGTGGAACAGGGAGAAGCAAGCTGAATACAAAATGAAGATTTTCTGAATTCAATAACCCATCTGATCCTAGCTGATAAAGTACCTGCACTCTGCAGGGCGGAGGGCTGTGTACTGCCTCCTGAATAATAAACACAGAAGGTCCCAACCGCTGATCACGGTGTAATTCAATGAGGGGTCTCTGAAGAGGACATGTCAGCACACACTGCAGTGCAGGGCTCTGAAAAGGCAGCGGAATCCCCAGATAGAGTTACTCCTCGGGATGTTGTCTAGAAACACACAGCTACCTCCTTCAAAGGATAAATTGTATTGATAAGGGATTAATAGTTTTTCTTAAATGGACATTTGGTCTGGGATAGCACCATTGGAAGAATTCTGAAACGCTTATCTCACAGGTTTTCTTAAAGCATCCAATCGGTACCCCTCATTTTACAGATGTGAATATGGAAGCCCATGGAGACTAAGTGTCCTGCCCAGGGTCATGCAAAAGGTGAGGGCAGAGCTGAGGGCAAACTGAGACTCCATTTCCATTCCAGGCTTTCTTCCACCCTACTGTACAGCCACACGTCCTTGTCCTGTGGGGTGTATAGCTTTCTCCCATCTAAATGACACTTTCTAAGGCTGGGTGTGGTGGCTCACCTGAGGCCAGCATGGCCAACATGGTGAAACCTTGTCTCTACTAAAAGTACAAAGAATTAGCTGGGTGTGCTGGTGGGTGCCTGTAATCCCAGCTACCTGGGAAGCTGAGGTGGAAGAATCGCTTGAACTTGGGAGGCAGAGGTTGTAGTGAGCAGAGATTGTACCACTGCACTCCAGCCTAGGCAACAGAGCAAGACTCCATCTCCCCGCCTGCCCCCCCCAAAAAAAGACACTTTGTAAGGCACTTTCACATCTCTCTCAATCACGCTCACCTAGGTTTAATAACCTAGAAAATTTTATAGAGAAAGGATATAAGTTAATATAAAAAACAGAAATGCTGCTAGAGTGACTGATGTATCAGCTTGAGTACACAGTGTCACAGCTGTGGACAGGAAAGATCCAGGCTTACCACAAAGACAAATATATGGACACATCCTTGCTTGACAAAACTATTTACAATGGGATTCTACAAGGTAGTCTGTTTTTTTCATACATTTGAAAGAAAATTTAACTTATAGAAATCCTCCTATTTACCAACATTTTCAGGTTTACTCCAATTGCATTATATAAAAAAGTACTTTTTTTTTTTTTGCCTGATTTTTACTTCTGAGGAAACAAGGGGGTGATAACAAGGATTACAAAAGACAATGATTGGCTTCCCACCTTATAAATTAATAGAAAGATAAGAACAGAATTATAAACCCCAGAAGGGAAGAGGCCTTAAGAAAACCTGATGCTGACTTAGCTATAATGAGTTAATCCACTTAGATCTCATGCAATAATGGGCATTATAGTAAATTTATAATTATCACCATTTTTACTCTTTTAAAAAACGCTATCACACATTTTCCTCTGGCTTCCCCCACCCAAGGCATAGCCAGTTTCACAGTTTGGTGAATAAGCTGTATTCTTCTGGCTTTTAAAAAACATCACAGTGCTATCTCTGTACCACCCCCCAAATTAAATCAGACTTGTTGCAACACAGCTGCAGCTTGTGGCTGCCAGCATTTCTGGAGGACAGCAGGACCTCCAACTTGGCAGGGTGGGGTGCTGGTTTTCATAGAGGCCTTCCAGCCCTGAAATGCCACCATACCCCTGGTACAGTGAGTCCAGCACCCAACAAGAAAACAACACCGACTCACATCCTTGTGTGGAAAAGGTGGGAGGCAACCATTCTTGCAACAGTTCTTTGATAGAGAAATAAATGATGTCCAGAGATGCAACAGGTTTGATGCTTGCACTCTCAGTAAATGGTGGCCTCAGTTAGGTCCAACCTTGGGATTTGGATCCTCTAAGAAATGCAAAGACACTTCTAGCAAGTCCTCTTTCCTCAATACTTTTGTCATCTGTTTTTGGCAGCTAGTATTCCTTTAGCAATTTAAGGGGCTTGGACTCTCATGATTTCCAATCTGGGTACCTCCCCTGCAGACGAGGAAACCTAAGGCTCAGATGTAAAGGAACCCGCTTGAGGTCATGCTGCTACATCAGATCCAGGACTTAGACCTCAATCTGCCTTCAAGGGACTCAGATCCAGCGGAACTAGACAAGACAAAGGAGGGGCTAGAAACACAGTCCTGTTGCAACAAAGCAAATAGGGATGCATAGCTAGGCTGTGGGTATCGTCCAATTACACCTCCAGCAACAATCAAATCTATCGCCAGCCCACCCCCACAATCTTTCCCCAGTGGATTTTTCTTCCTCCATTAGCCTTGATAAATTACAAGGCCCCACAGCAGGGACTGTTTCTTCCTCTCAGCTTTGTTTAGAGCATTGTCCTAGCAAAGCTCAAATAAAGGGCCATTATTAACAGTGACAATAATGCAATACTGTTTTCTCAAGGGCTTCCACCAGAGCTTGCCAGGTCAACACCATCCTACTTCCTGCCACCTCTTGTGGGCGATTGTCACCTGCAAACCCTCAGGTGCCCAGGAGGTCAGTACCCAGCACTGCGCTCTACTTTGAGCTGCCTAAACACTGCCCTGGAAATTGGACAAAGGAGAAGGACCCGGCAAAACATGTCATCATGCCAGGAAAGGTCTAATAGGGCAGCCACAGGAGACGAAATCAGGCCAGGGAGATAATGGGCCCCAGATTTGTTTTGAACTGAGCTCACTCACAGCCCAGGGCCCTGATGCTAAAGGACTCCGGAGGCCGGTTTAGCATCAGAAATGCTTTGGTGGTAGCTCTGGTTTTCATTAGGTCCTTTGGGCCTTGGATACACTGAGGTTAAGGGTCCATCTCTCAAGAAATGCTGCTTTTGGTGGGGGTTGGGGGGACACAGAGAGGAGCCATGGAGTGTTTGGTCTTACGTGTGAGAGTCCATATGTGTGCATGCGCTTGCATGAGGGCCACACTCCCCCTTCACATTCCCTAACTTTAGGTTCTGGTTAGAAATTCATTAACAAAGGCTCTGTGGGGGAAATAAAATCGGCTTTTTATTGCAACAAAAGCAACCAGCAGGATAAGGCAGGGTGGATGGAGAGAGGAGGTGTGGTTTAAACATAAGTTCTTTTGCAGGTTCTCAGCTTTTAATTAGCACACCTGAGTGCAGACCCCTCCCTCATGCTTATAAACACAGGTCTGCTCAGGCTTTCCTTTTATTGTCACTTGTCACAGGCCCAGGTAGCCAAAGCTTATCTGGATTGGAAGTGCTAGGCTCTTCCCTGAGGCTCTCCTGCAGGTGGCTGACTCATTCTTGCAGAGGCTGGGAAGCCAGCCAGGTGCAGCAGTGGGTTAAGAGTTTCCATTACCAGCCCAGGGACTCATTCCCTAGGCATGTTGTAGGCACCCTCTGGGGACAGAGCTCAATTCTAGGCACAGTAGGGAAACAAGGATGAATGGGCTGACCTACCCCCAGGAGCCCTATCTCCTAGCCCACAAAGTGACACACGACACACATCAGGCATGCGCAAGACACTGTCCTCAGGCCCGACCCCAGTCCCCCACTGGTATCTGCCATGGAGGTTGCAATTTGTGGCACGGGAGGGAGAACATAAACCCATCTGCTAACAAGGCTGGTGTGTGTGAGTACTGCAGGCCCAGACGGTTCTCCTTAACATGCTGACGTCTTTATGGAGTCTGACGTTTGGCTGGCTTTGCTCTGTGAGATCAGTGGTCTTCCAGGGTAAGTTTCCCAATGTTTTCTCTAAGGGAAGTAACACAGGCCTTCTTACTAGGCTTCTCCAGCAGGAGAAAAAGGGCGAGAGTTTTAGGGCCATCAGGAGAGTCTCCAAACACATCTGATCTTCTAGAAGCAGCTTGGAGGGAAGCCCTGAATAGGGAGTATAGTGAGCAGTCTCGAGGCCGAGAGTTCAAAGCAGGGTTTCCCTAGCTCTCTCGGCCTCAGTTTCTTCCTCTGTGAGATGGGCTCTTCAATTCACACCATCCCTAGGATTCAATGGCAGCACATCAGGCACATGGCGATGTGTCTCTGTGCTGTGGACAGGAAGAACGGTCAGAGGTCTGGATACAGCCAGTGTTTCTGCCATAACACAGAGGAAGCAAGAGCAGACCAATGCCTTTGGAAATGTTGCTTCATGGCCCAGATCCATGGGAATTTGCCCAGCTACTCGAGGGAGACCTTTCAAACTTGCTCAGAAAATCTGATTTTCTTTGACTTTTTGCTGCCAGCAATTTAGCTGAGTTGGGTGGTTACTTTGTCTACCTTTTTCTTTCAGTTTTCTCCCAAGCTGATCAAAGAAGCCCAAACGGAGACTCAAAGCCAATATAATAGTCAACTACAATGCTCTCCCTGTTCTGGGACCAGTGGTGGGTGGCATGGACTGGCCACACTTCAATCCCTCCTGGGACATTAAACTGTTCGAAGCGTGTCCCACAGCTAGTCCAGGGTGAATGCCACATTTCTGCTGGCCCGAGCCTGTAATGCCTGCTGGCCCTGGCCAGACCCCTCCTCATCCCGACCCCACTTCCTCATCCTCGGAACAGGGGCTTGGCTTCATTCTCCTCTAAAACTTTGAGCTCAAAGATTTCACAATATCTCTCCTATTCAATGTCCTTGGTCACCAAAATGAGGGATCTGAATCAGCATGGAGGACAGGGAAAGGGGAGATGTGCATTGCAGAACCATTTCTTTCACTATCAACTCAGGATTTTACCAAGTCCTCTCACTTCCTCGTGACTCAGTCGCTTCATTTGAAAAAAGCAAAGGAAAGGGCAATCTGGTCTATCCTTCCTAAGGAAGATGCAGGGATACAAGGAAAAATAGAACCGAAGCAACAAGTTCCAGAGGCAGGTTGAGTCCTTGAAGCCTGAGCATATAAGACAACTCACAAACACCCAGGCCCTTTCACCGGCCTAGCTGGGGGAGAGGATGGGTGGAGAAAGGCCCACCAGCATTGGTGCAATGTCACTGAAGCAGCTACCCTCAATGGGGTGAGTACCTTGCGGACACCATGGCAGTTCTCAGCCCAAGAGCTGATGCTCTTAAAACCCATCAGAATTGGCTGGGCGTGGTGGCTCATGCCTGTAATCCCAGCACTTTGGGAGGCCAAGGTGGGCAAATCACCTGAGGCTGGGAGTTTCAGACCAGTCTGATCAACATGGAGAAACCTCATCTCTACTAAAAATACAAAATTAGCCAGGCGTGGCGGTACATGCCTGTAATCCCAGCTACTTGGGAGGCTGAGACGAGAATCGCTTGAACCCGGGAGGTGGAGGTTGCGGTGAGCCGAGATCATGCCATTGCACTCCAGCCTGGGCAACAAGAGCAAAACTCTGTCTCAAGAAAAAAAAAAAAAAAAAAAAAAAAAAGCCGGGCACGGTGGCTCATGCCTGTAAACCCAACAATTTAGGAGGCCGAGGTGGGTGGATCATCTGAGGTCAGGAGTTCGAGACCAGCCTGGCCAACATGGTGAAACCCTGTCTCTGCTAAAAATACAAAAATTAGCTGGGCATGGTGGCAGGTGCCTGTAACCCCAGCTACTCGGGAGGCTGAGGCAGGAGAATCGCTTGAACCCTGGAGGCAGAGGTTGCAGTGAGCCAAGATCACGCCACTGCATTCCAGCCTGGGAGAAAAGAGCAAAACTCCATCTCAAAAAACAGAATAAAACACCATCAGAAACTCCAAGCAGATCTGCCTGAGTTGGGAGGAAAGAATGATTGAGGGGATCCAGTTCCATCTCTACCACGAATTCATTTTTGTTATTTATTTATCTACTTATTTAGAGACAGGGTCTCACTCTGTCACCCAGGCTGGAGTGCAGTGGTGCGATCATAGCTCATCGTAACCTCAAACTCCTGCACTCAAGCAATCCTTCCACCTCAGCCTCTCAAGTAGCTGGGACTCCAGGCACATGCCACCATGCCTAGCAAATTGTTACATTTTTTTCGGAAGTATGGGGTCTCACTATATTGCCCAGTCTGGCCTTGAACTCCTGGGCTCAAGCAATCTTCCTGCCTCAGCCTCCCGAAGTGCTGGGATTACAGGCATAAGCCACTGCACCTGGCCTCTACTTATATGACTCTAAAGAAGTCACATCCCTGGCCTGGGCCTTAGTTTCCTCATCCGTGAGCAGAGCTGGCCGATCAGACCAATCCCTGCCAGCCCTGACACTATGCACTCCTCCAGCAAGCAGGAAAACAGTAGTGTGTCTTGTTATTTCTGAGCAAAGGCCTTAATTGTTCTCTACAGCATGAACTCCTCTATCTAAAAACCACAACATCTCCTCTCCTCTCCCTCCCCTGCCACCCCCTTCCTCCGAGATCCACAAGACTGTTACAGAACATTCATTTATTTTTCTTCGGTGCTTGGGCTGAAAACTCTGATGACTAAGCCATTGAATTTTAATACGCTACTGTGCTCCTTGGAGGGTTTCTTCATTTCCCAGATCCCCCTCCCCCACCCCCTGTGCCCTCTGTAGACATGTGGTAGTCGTTAGGAACAGTTTGATGAAGTTTAGGTTTTCAGAGTAGAGGAGAGATGGGGGCCAGTGGGTGGGAGGGGAGGGAGAGGCGGGGGAGGTATGATAAATGGACACAACAGTCCAGAGGCCACTCAGAAAATAAACATAAAGCTCCTTTTGAGTGAGCCCACTAAAAACAAATTCCCCAAAAGCTTTTTCCTTTTTGTGGGGTGGTAGGGGAGGGAGGGGCGGGGCGGGGAGGAAGTGCTGGTGGAGGTAGGAGAGGAAAATTCTCTCAATGTAAATGGACTCTGTTCAGAGAAAGAAACAATTCTCTTTATTGGCAGCAGCAGACGTGCACGTCGGATGCTGCCAGCCATGTGTCACGACGGCCAAGTACTCTGTAGCTGAGGCCAGGCATTCAAATTCTGGGTGCTCGAGAGGCGGCAGCCCTCAGAAGAGCAAGCCAATGCTGGTGGAATTCCATGGAGAAACCTGGGTCACCACGGCAGACAGGGACAGACTCAACTGGCCAGGAACACCCCACTGGGGCTCAGTCTTGCTGACTTTCTGAAGGTCCCTGGCATTCTCTTTCCTGGACCCCAACCCTGGCCTCTTCCCCATCCTGACGGCATCACTCCCTGCCCCCATCCCACATTTCCATCCCCGTAGTTGAGAAACCCTAAACCTGGGCCCTGAATACATGTCTGCATGTTTGAAAATACTTGTAACACAGAGAAAAGGCAATATTTGAAACAAAAAAAATCCTAGACTTTGAATGGTAAGATTTCACTTGCAACCTGAGTTTCTTCTCCAGTGGGTGAGTTGAAGGTTTGAAAAGGAATCACCCTAGTGGGGGAAAGTGCATCATCTCCAGTTTTTGGTGTGGATTTCGTTTATGTTTGTTACACAAGGACTTGGCCAACCAGGTGCTATCTGAGAAGGAAGTATCAGTGTTCTTATGCTTTCCAGGAGGACATTGGAGACTTCCCTTATTAAATTGCCTTGCACACGGGGGTTTTTTGGGGTACCTCCCCAAGGATCTCTTAAGCACATTCTTCAGATACACTGTAAATGCTAAGAAAATGAGAGTTCACTCCTCTTCAATTTTTATTATAAATAATGCACAAATGTATGTAAAACATGCTCCCTATTTTAAGATTTCTTTTTTAGACAGGGTCTGGCTCTGTTGCCCAGGCTGGAGTGCAGTGGCTTGATCTCGGCTCACTACAACCTCTGCTTCCCGGGCTGAAGTGATTCTCCAGCCTCAGCCTCCTGAGTAGCTGGGACTATAGGCGCCAGCCACCATGCTCGGCTAACTTTTTAATTTTTTTTGGAGAAACAGGTTTTCTCCATGTTGCCCAGGCTGGTCTTGAACTCTTGGGCTCAAAGTGATCCACCTGTCTTGGGTTCTCTTGGATTATCAAAGTGTTGGGATTACAGGCTTGAGCCACTGTGTCTGGCCTGATGTTTTTCTTGTACATATTTAAGAAGTCAAGTAAATAAGTTCAGATGCTCACAGTAGAAAAATAACTACCTCAGAGCTCCTGGAATGAGGAACACGAAGCAGAAGATGCCATCAGTCTGAGAACCCACTCTCTCCTCTTAGTGGATGCTAGGGATGGGGACAGGACGGCTGACATTTCCCAGATCATCCACTGCAGCAGCGTGGAATCAGAGGGCCTGGGTTTGATTCCTGCTCTGCCACTAGCCAAAACCTCAGGCAGTCATTGGAACTTGCCGTGCCTTTACTGCCTTATTTGTAGAACAGGGATAATGACAGGTACTGGAAGGGTATTGGAATGCTGCACCGGCAGGGTGGGCCAGCCACTGCGTGAGTTTCCTGGGGCTTCTGTAACAAAGTACCATGAACTGGGAGGCTTTAAACAGCAGAACTTTATTCTGCTACACTCCTGGAGGCAAGAAGTCTGAAATCAAGGTGTCGGCAGGGCCCTGTTTCCTCTGGGACCCTGGTAAGTTTTCCGTTGCCTCCTCCCAGCTTCCTCGTCTGCTAGACACAGCCCTCCACATCCCATGCATCCTCCACGTGTGCCTCACCCTGTATTCAGATGCCCCTCTTACTCTAAGGACACCAGGCATGTTGGATGGGGGACCCACCCTACCCAGTGGGGCCTCATCTTAGCTAACTACATCCACACCTACTTATTTCCAAATAAAGTGACATTCCGAGGTCCTAGGGGTTAAGACTTCAACATATCTTCTGGGGGACATGATTCAGCGCTGATGCCCCCCACAGCCTTATCAGAACAGCAGTTGCCCTTTGTGTTTCTTGCCAGTTTGTGGCCAAGGAGAGGAAGCACCACTGACCAGGCCCCTGGGGTAGTGAACACGATGGAGAAATGCCCACTGTGACAGGAACAGCCCCTTCTCTTTTTGTGGTTGTTGCTAAAAGGGGGATTGGTTTTACAAACGAATGCTGTGGTTTTCATCGGGAAGTGCCTCTAAGCTGGAGCTCAGAGGATGGAAGCACTCGATAGGAATTAAACTGGGAGAAATTCCTGGCTCTGTTGTTTAGGGCAGATTTGCTGTGGTCACAGCAGATTTGCTTCTGTGAGATCTGAAGATATTCCTTGCTTGGGCCACCCATTTGCAGTAGCACCTACTTCTGGGTGGCAGAAGAAACAAAGGAAAAGAAGGGAGGGGATTCAGCCTCTGCCCCTCCATGACCTAGGCCACAGCTTGGTAAGCTTTCTCTAAGGGTCAGGTAGCAAATACTTTATGCTTTGTGGACCATGTGGTCTCTCTCACAACTCCCCACCTCGTCTGTTGTAGAGCAAGAGCAGCCACAGACAACTTGCAACCAAATGGTAAGGCTGTGTCCCAACGAGCCTTCATGTGTGGACAGAGAAATTTGAACTTCACACAAATGCCATGTGCCATGGAACATCATTTGTCTTTTGATTATCTTTCAACCATTTCAAAATATAAAAACCATTTGCAGTGGATGGGATTTGGCCCACTGGCCCTAGCTTGTCAACTCCTGATTTCCACACTCAGAGAGGTTGTGTGTGCTTCCACAGCCTACCATAGCTGTCACACCACCTAATTTTTCAATACAACTCCACAGTTCATAACATTTTCATACAATCACGTGACTCGATCCTCTCATCCACCCTGTTGGTAGGCACAGTGGACATTATCCCCATTTTACAGATAAGAAAATCAAACAAGTCAAATGTCCACTTAGCAAGTGGTACAGCCAGACTGAAACTTACGTCTTCTGGCTCCTTATCTGGTGACCCATCAGCCAGAAACACTCCAGACCAGCCCTTTTCTCATGGATGCTTCATGCACGGATGCACAACGATCCAAGTCAGCATGTAGTTCCCCCAATGGCTCTTTCAGAAATCCTGCCGCAGTCAGGGTGTTGATGCAGGGCTGAGAATTCTCCTCTAGAATCCTAGCTCCCCGACCAAGAGGACTAGATGTAACACTGGCCTCAGAAGGGTGGGTGGGCAGCTTCCTGCATGGTTTCAGGATCAAACATAGCCCACGTATCTTTGAAAACATCTAATCTGTTCACCACTGTAGACGGTTTTCCTTTTTTTTTTTTTTTTTGAGATGGAGTCTCATTCTGTTGCCCAGGCTGGAGTGCAGTGTCACGATCTCGGCTCGCTGCAACCTCCGCCTGCTGGGTTCAAACTATTCTCCTGCTTCAGCCTCCCGAGTAGCTGGGATTATAGGCACCTACCACCACACCTAGCCAATTTTTGTATTTTTAGTAAAGATGGGGTTTCACCATGTTGGCCAGGCTGTTCTGGAACTCCTGACCTCAGGTGATCCGCCCGCCTCAGCCTCCCAAAGTGCTGGGATTACAGGCGTGAGCCACCGTGCCCAGCCTGAGGGCTTTCCTTCCTCCACCTCAGAGGTTGACAACCAGATGCTCTTGGGGACCAGGCATGCAAGGTAAACAAGTGGAGTTTGGGGGGTGGGAACAGCATTTGCCTATCTAGAGGGGGCAGATGCTATTCAGCTCTAGCCAGCTGTTGCCAGATCAGGGACTCTCCCAAGTTTTAGATGATAGCATATCGTCAAGTTTTGGGTTTTCTTCGTTTTTTTAAAGAGTGCTAGGTTGAAAGATGTCCCTAGGCTACTGTGTGACGCCTTTTGCCCTGAGGGCTGCCTCTTGACTTTAGGCAGCTGATACCTTGTACTACATACCTAAAGTTGATTCTCTTTCCTGAAAACACTCATTTACTAGCAGCCAGAGGTGGGGATGGGTGGGTTTTTGATGGAGATGAGACAGGGAGTAACAAGCAGCCACATGACCCTGGATAAAGCTGTATAGGGACGGGTGATGGCGGGGAAGTGCAGGAAGCTCGGCTTTTAGAAGTAGATGATGAACACTGAATTATTCAAGACAGGTCCAGCCCAGGGCAGAAATAGAAAATAAGTCCTTGCCATGTCCTGATTCAGACTAAATTGAACTTGATGACACCCTTTCACAAGACACCTTTGATGGAAATGAAGATAATAATCACTGATGCCATCCAACATGGTGATTGATAATGCTCCCTCTTTCAAACCCTCACTGTGTCCTTGAGTCCCAGGAAGGTGCCTGGCTTGGGTCCAACCATCCAGACTCTGGCTCCAGGGGAGGGAGCTCTGAGGTAGGAGGGTACTTCCTCTGGGTTCATATGCTAAATACATACAACTAGGCCAGGAGTGGTGGCTCATGCCTGTAATCCCAGCACTTTGGAAGGCCAAGATGGGAGGATTGCTTGAGCTCAGGAGTTTGAGACTACCCTGGGCAACACAGGGAGACTCCACCTCTACAAAAAATAATTAGCTGGGTATGGTGGCACACACCTGTGGTCCCAGCTTCTTGGGAGGCTGAGGTAGGAGGATTGCTTGGGCCCAGAAGGTTGAGGCTGAATGAGCTGTGATTGTGCCACTGCACTCCAGCTTAGGCGACAGAGTGAGACCCTATCTCAAATACATACATACATACATACATACATACATACATACATACATACATACAACTTGCCTTTGGAACCATGGAAGTCACTGTTCCCCAACTATATGCTCCTTGATGGTGGAAACATGTTGTACTTGTCCTTATATCCCTAGCATCCTGTGAGCCAAACCAGCAGAGGCTTGGACTGGCTAATGCTAGACTGTGTATGGCACCTAGCAGGGCTCTGTGCTTGCCAAGCAAACACATGGAAATCAACATTTACAGAACATCCATATACCAGGTGCTTTTTCTGATTTGATGTTTATAATAAATCTAGGTGGGTACTACCCAGTGGTCATACTACTTCTTATTGATGGTATCCAACTTATTAACCTTGCCAACCCTCAGTTTCCTCATCTGTAACTAAAGATAATGATAGTACCCACATCTTATTGGGTTGCTGTTAGGAGTAAATAAAATAATAAATGTTAAATGTTTATCACAGTGCTTGGCATACAATAAGAATTCAATACACTGTTGATTGTGGTTTGCTTTTGTTCTGACCTCTTATTTGGAAATAATTATAGAGTCACAGGAAGCTGCAAAAAAAAAAAAAAAAAAAGAATACAGAAAGGTCCTGTGTATTCTTTGCTCACTTTCCCCAGATGGTTAAATCTCACACAATTAGAGTATAATAGCAAAACTAAAAAACCATACACATTGGCAGGCCAAGCGTGGTGGCTCACGCCTGTGATCCCAGCACTTTGGGAGGCCAAGGCAGGTGGATCACGAGGTCAGGAGATTGAGACCATCCTGGCTAACACAGTGAAACCCCGTCTCTACTAAAAATACAAAAAACTAGCCAGATGTGGTGGCGGGCACCTGTAGTCCCAGCTACTCGGGAGGCTGAGGCAGGAGAATGGCGTGAACCTGGGAGGCGGAGCTTGCAGTGAGCCAAGACCACACCACTGCACTCCAGCCTGGGCGACAGAGTAAGACTCCGTCTCAAAAAAAAAAAAAAAAAAAAAAAAACCAACCAACCATACACACTGGAATAATGTTGTGTATGTATAGTTTGATATCATTTTATCGTATATATGGTTTATTTCTATAACAACTTGATAACTATCATGAGACGCAGTTCAGAGCTGTGGTTAAGTGTACAGCCTCTAATTCCAGACTGTCTGAGTTCTAAAGTTGGCATGGCCACTACTAGCTGTGTGACCTTAAGCAAATTACATAACTGCTCTGTGCCCTAGTCCCCTAATCTGTAAAAGGGAAACAACAATAATAGCGTTTCTTAAAGGCTAGGAAGATTAAATAACTTAATATATATAAAGTACTTAAACCGTCCTGACATTTAGCAAACATTCCATGATTTTTAGCTTTTTTTAAATTAAAAAAATTTTTTTAAATTTTTTGTTATAATTATGTTTACTATTTTTACTATTCCTGGGTCCCAGAAAGGGAGGGGAGTGAGGAAAATCTTGGCCTGACTTCCGCCACAGGGCTCAGGCCTTCTTTTCCTTTGGTTAATGGTTGTGATGCTTTATGGAAGTGAGCCAAGGATACACCAGGGGTCTACTTTTGTTGCTTTGTTTTGGAATAAACCCATGTTACAATTTTGAGAGAAAACTCCAGGCTGTCCAGGCCTGCTCTTGCAAGGCCCGGGGTCTCTCTGTTGGGGAACCTCGACCGACTCCAGGTTTGCTGCTTCAGAGAGTAAGCTGGCAGGGGATGCAGAAGGGATACAGTGGGCTGGTTCTACTCACTTCTCCACTGGACGAAGCCAGCATTTGACCCCAGACAACAGCATCCCCAGGCATTCTGTCTTCTGCTTAAAGACTCCTCCTCCATCTGAACTGTGGCCCCTTGATGGGCTTCATGGCTGAGTAACACTGGCAGACCTCCGAGGAGAGGGATGGAACAGGGCCTGATCTGACAACAGCCTCCCAGAGAGAAGTGACGGTGGCTACACAGTCTGGCTTCAAGGTCAAAGTTCCTAAAACCTTGCATCCCTTTATGCACTAGTACTGGGGCAACGATCTAGAAAAGTGAAAGGAACTCAGACACCTTTGACTGCATCATGGGCATCACTCTAAAGCAGGCTGGAGGGAAGGAATAACAATAATTATAACAAGTGAGACCCTGCCTCAAAAATAATGATATTTGGCCGGGCGCGGTGGCTCACGCCTGTAATCCCAGCACTTTGGGAGGCCGAGGCGGGTGGATCATGAGGTCAGGAGATCGAGACCATCCTGGCTAACAAGGTGAAACCCCGTCTCTACTAAAAATACAAAAAATTAGCCGGGCACGGTGGCGGGCGCCTGTAGTCCCAGCTACTCGGGAGGCTGAGGCAGGAGAATGGCGTGAACCCGGGAAGCGGAGCTTGCAGTGAGCCGAGATTGCGCCACTGCAGTCCGCAGTCCGGCCTGGGCGACAGAGCGAGACTCCGTCTCAAAAAAAAAAAAAAAAAAAAAAAAAAAAAAGATATTTAACTATGATAACAGCTACCAGTTACTAAGGACTTACTTTGCGTGGAAGTGCACTCGAGTCTTAGACTAATTCATGATGTGGCACTATCACCCTTTCTTACAATAAGTAAAAGAACAGAAGATGACAGAAGCCAAGGTCACAGCTAGTAAGCCACAGAGCCAGGATTCAAACCCAGGCTGACGGGCCTCCATTTTGGAGCTCTAAACCACCAGGCTGCACTCCATCACCAGAGACTGCAGTTCCTCTCACCTGGACTCTCAGTTTGCCCTTTATTAATACTATGATTCTTTCAGTTGTCTTATTTCTGGTTATAGCCGTTTTAATATGATCTTTGCATCCCTGCGTTAAGTAGTGGATTGGAATATACACACACACACACACACACGCGTGTGTGTGTATGTATATATTTTTTTCTTTTTTTTAAAGGCACACCTCAGCTGGATAACATTAAAAAAGAAAAGAAAAATACAGGTCATTTTTTCTTGGCCAAGAAGATATCATTGTGTCTAGGTGGGAGGTATGAGGTCAGACCAATGGTTCTGCAGAACCCTGTTTCAGACCTGGGATCCCATTAGGCATGCAGGTCAGCCACACAGTCTTGGCCGAGTGCAGTATTGCGCAAACGTGCCTTGAGTTTCCAATCTGGAAACATTTCCTGCTTTTCCACTTCCAGCCAGCTCTCATCCTCAGGCAGAGGTTGCCAGCCATTCCAGACTAAGCGGGGGTGATGACGTCAGTGGAGAGAACCGGACCAGCAGCCTGGATGCTCCGACTCCCGCCTGGGGCCTGAATCCTGGCCTCTGAAGGATGTTTCTGAGGTGGTAGTGACTCACCTGGGCTCCAGGCTGGCAAAGCTGCCTCGAGAGTCCTCATTCAGCTCCCTGCATCTTGACTATTTCTGAGGTAAACTGTGGGGACCTAAGCCCACACCACATTGAATCCCTTCCCCAAACCCAACAGGAAACATCAGATTCCATCATTTGTAATCTATCTGGCTTGGATCCATGACAGCATTCCTTACGCAAGCCCTGACTCCAACAGGGCTGAAGCCTGCAGGCCGAGGCTGTGCTGGGGAGTCTGAGTTACAGGCACCATTCTCCTCCCCTCCTGGAATGAGCCCTATTAATAATGGCTGAAGAAAAGCAGGTAAATGCCCCTCCTACCCCAGGGAAAAACATCCAGCCCTGCTGTAGAAGCCACACACACTTGACTTTCTCCAGAGATGTTTAGGGCAGGGGAAATGGGGGACCATGGCATGTCACATGCCTCCCCTGAATACAGGGCTCTCTTTTTTTTTTGTATCCTGCCTTAAGAGGGGGCTAAAGTAGCAAGCTGACCCTTGATATCCTGCCTAGAAATATCCACAGATGACACTGGTACCAACTGCAACCACGGTTTTTATGAGCACCCTAATCCACTACAAGTCACCTCCACTCAATGTGGATCCCGACTCCGTGCTTCCCTCGAGATCATTTTCCACCTGCTTTCACTAGCTGGTCTGACCAGTTTCCCTGGGCTACCAGGTCTAGTTAAGGGTGGTTGTTAATTATGCACAGAACACTAAGGAATAATAATACACTCTGCCAATCTTTCATGTCAAGAACACCAAAATTTTTGACTCAGAACTCCCTATGAGATAAAGCACTTATACCATTCTCATTGGGTCAGCTGGACACAGTCCTGTGATCCCACAGGTGGAAGAGGTCATGGCCCGAGAAGACAGCTGTCGTCCTGGAAGTCACACAACAGGGCCATTGCTAGACGGTAGAGAGGCTCCAATCAAGGCCACTGTCAAATACCTGAACAGAAACCTTTTCACATTTAATCCACCTACTCATTGAGCTCTCAGAAAATAGAAATGGCATTTGGGTATTACCAGTGTGGGAGGGCTTTGAATTGACAACTCAGGGGTCACAGTCTTTGTTTCTTAGGGGGGACTTCTAATGATATGCTCAAATAGAAAAAATTCAACATCAGAGAGCCATGTCACAAATCCTGGTTCACCAGTGCTGCTTGTTTGGTTAAAAAAAAAAAAAAAAGTTCTGATTCGATGTGACTAATAAGTCCCAAGACCACACTGTTGAAGGGTCCTAACCAATTTAAAAGTTTTAAAAAGCACTCAAAATAGATTGCCTTCCTTCTCCTCAAAACTTAATCAGTTATTCTTGGCTACAAATAAAACCAATACTGGTACTTACTTGAAGCTATACTTCATAATCCAGTTACTACTCTTAAGGGAAAATATTAATTCCTAAAATCCTACTTGGCTGTATATACCATGTGGAAAAAATATAGGGCCACAGAATTCTTCCCCACACACAGTCCCCACCCAGCCTGGCTCTCCCCCATCCGGGCCTGCCATTTCATCTCTGCTTTATTGGCATGCACATCTGGATTACATAAATTTCAAGTATGGGTTTCAATATTAGTACTGCTTAGGGTTACAATACTTGACAAATCTCAAATGCCAGGACGTCAAATCAAATTAGCTTGACCAGTCACAGAAGACAAGGGGAGAGAGGGATGGACGACTGGAGCACTACAACAATAAACAAGGTGCGCTGCTGATCCACTGTTCCTTGTTTAGCTGGCATGGAGGCTTCAGACGTGACCTAATAACCTCTCAGATCCAGGAGAATGCGAACCTGCAGGTCCATGTCTCCATCCCTTAGCAGAACAGTAGGTGCCCACTTGGCTGAGAAGTACGTGTGTATGTACGTATTTGAGATGGAGTCTTGCTCTCTCACCCAGGTTGGAGTGCAATGGTGTGATCCCAGCTTACTGCAATCTCCACCTCCCAGGTTCAAGTGATTCTCCTGCCTCAGCCTTCTGAGTAGCTGGGATTACAGGGACCTGCCACCCCACACAGCTAATTTTTGTATTTTTTGTAGAAACAGGGTTTCACCATGTTGGCCAGGCTGGTCTCGAACTCCTGACCTCAGGTGACCTACCCGACTCAGCCTCTCAAAGTGCTGGGATTACAGGCGTAAGCCACCGTGCCCAGCCAGAAGTATGTATTTAAAAGTTCAAATGAAACCATTTGGATGCAACCCCAGTTAATCTAGGGTCTCATAAAGAACATCTTTGAAATTTCAAATTTTACCTTTGTTACTCAAGTTCAGGTCTTAGCCCGTGGAGGTAGCTTTTGGCATGTCATGACCCTGGTATTTCAAGAGGGTGGTGGATTGGTAAGTCATGCAATTCTTCATGATAAAATCTAGGAGTGAGTGGCTACAAAAGAAGTTATCAAATACTTTTCATTTCATTTCCTAAATGTCTTATTTAAAAAAAAAAACAAACAGATTTGGCTGGGTACGGTGGCTCATGCCTGTAATCCTAGCACTTTGGGAGGCCAAGGTGGGTGGATCACTTGAGGTCAGGAGTTCCAGACCAGCCTGGCCAATATGGTGAACCCCATCTCTACAAAAATCAAAAATTAGCCAGGTGTGGTGGTCACACCTGTAATCCCAGCTACTCAGGAGGCTGAGGCAGGAGAATCGCTTGAACCCAGGAGGCAGAGCTTATAATGAGCACTGCACTCCAGCCTGGGTGACAGAGCAAGACTCTGTCTCAAAAACAAAATGAAACAAAACAACAGATTCTCTTTTTTTTTTTTTTTTTTTTTTGAGATGGAGTCGTGCTCTTGTTGCCCAGCCTGGAGTACAATGGCACAGCCTCAGCTCACTGCAACCTCCACTTCCCGGGTTCAAGCGATTGTCCTGCCTCAGCCTCCCAAGTAGCTGGGATTACAGGTGCCTGCCATCACACCTGGCTAATTTTTGTATTTTTAGTAGAGACAGGGTTTCGCTGTGTTGGCCAGGCTGGTCTCAAACTCCTGACCTTGTGATCTGCCCGCCTCGCCCTGCCAAAGTGCTGGGATTACAGGCGTGAGCCACTGCGCCTGGCTCAGATTCTCCTTTCTTAATATTCACATATCACTTGTTATAAACTTTTGCAATCTACAGAAGGAGCAGGATATAATACAAAAAAACTAAAAAAAAAAGTTAAAAAAATAAAAATAAACTTTGGGGATAATTAGATAATCTAGAATTTCTTCAGTGTTTTTCCTAGCTGCTGGGGATGTTAAAGGGAAAAAGATGCTCATGGAAATTTGATTTGGGTGCTGCTGGACTGAACAAGGTTAAGTTTGTTTCCTTACTGCAGGACTTCTCAGGGCCTTGAATATGCAAATTGCATATTATAAAATGCAAAGAAGGAAAGACAGTGCATTGCATTTTCTAAATATATTTGGCCATGGAACCTTTTCCTGTGCTACATTTTCATAGTATTCTGAGAACCACTTTGGGGATTAGTTGACCCTAAGTCCTCTGGTTAATCATTATCACCCTAATCCCTGATAGAGAAACTAAGGCTATACAATGTGCTGGCCTCCATTTTGATGCACTGAGGGAATGGCTGAGTGTCCTCACCAGTCCTTGTTAAGGCACAAGGGACAGAATCATGCCTAACTTCCCACAGTCCCCTGCAGGGCCTGTGCTTGTCAATAACACTGCTTACTTCTTTCCAGGTCTCCAAAATGTCCAACACCCGGGTAGGAGTGGGCATTTCACTGGCGCCTTCATAAGAGCTAAATCATTGCACACACAAAGCTGTGTGCTGGCATTTCCAAGTCGGAGAGACTCAGTGCCAACTTGGAAAACACTTAGGAGATGTGCTTCAGGTCAGGCTCCCCATAAACAGGCTGGGAAAGTGGCCAAAGATCCCAGCCACTGTGGAAGTGCAATGGACTCTGGAGATTACAATTAACCTCTGGGGCAGTGTAATGTCTGATAATGGCCTGCAAAAAGTACATACAGAAATGCAGCTCCATGGGTATAATGTGTCTGCACAGGTGTTTCGTTTTCTTGCTAGGGTTCTCAGTCACTGGGGAAAACTAAGCAGAAACAAACCATCCTCTTACTTCAAAATGAAACCCCAGCAAATGCATGAACTGTCCAGTTTGTGAGTGAGATAGAATGAGCATTACTAAGGTGCTATTTATTCATTAGCACCACCAGTTCCTGAAAGCTCACTACTGCCACATGCTTTGCAATGTGTTCTTTATATATTTATATTTATCTTTTTAAATAGAGATGGGGTCTTGCTATGTTGCCAAGGCTGGTCTTGAACCCCTGGCTCAAGTCATCCTTCTGCCTCAGCCTCCCAAAGTCCTGGGATTATAGGAGTGAGCTGCCATGCCCGGTCTGTTCTTTACTTTAATCCTCATTATAATCCTATAAAGAGCCTACTATTTTATTCCATTATACAGATGAGGAAATGAGACCAGAGAAGTCAAAGATCCAGACAGAGTTAGGGGCAAAGCCAGAATCTGAACTCAGATCTATTTGGCGTCATAGCCTGAGCTTCCCCAACCTATCTGTCTGACACTTATTTATGAATCCTTAACTTTATACTATGTACAGTGGGGGTTAAATGGACCAGACAGGGATTCTACTCTCAAGAAGAAATCAGATGTTAAGACAAAAGGCCCGACACATAAAGATCTAAACTCTAGAAGGTGCTAACACTCACAGAGAAAATAACTTTTACAGCCAGTGACTATTCTAAATGCTTTTCTTTTCTTTCTTCTTCTTTTTTTTTTTTTTTTTTGAGATGGAGTTTTGCTTTCGTCACCCAGGCTGGAGTGCAATGGTGCGATCTCGGCTCACTGCAACCTTGGCCTCCCGGGTTCAAGTGATTCTCCTGACTCAGCCTCCCAAATAGCTGGGACTACAGGTGCGTGCCACCACACCTGGCCAGAGACAGGGTTTCACAATGTTGGTCAGGCTGGTCTTAAACTCCTAACCTCAAGTGATCCACCTGACTCAGCCTCCGAAAGTGCTGGGATTACAGGCGTGAGCCACCGTGCCCAGTCTCTAAATGCTTTTCATAAATAAACATTTGATCCTCACAAGGACCCTATGCGATAGGTGCCATAATCCCTATTGTACAGATGAGAACATTGAGTCACAAGGCTGTTTGGGGCTTGCCTGAGGTCACACAAGCAGGAAGAATGGCGCAGGAATGGGACCTAGCGTGTGCAGGCTTTACCACTACACAGCACAGCATTGCAAAGGGAGTGGGTGAGTCTGGAGCTAAGACAGTGAGGCTGACCCAGGTTCCCAGGCCATGGCTCTGCTACCAGCCTGCTGGGCTGATCTGGTTCCCAACAGGTAGGTTTGAGGAGAGAGCACCACTGGGTCCTCACTGTACCCATTCAGAAAATCCTCCTCTGATGCCTGTGGCGACTCAGCACCTTCCTAACTCTGACAACTGCCCTGGAGCCCCTCTTTCTCTCTCTTTTCCTCCCAGGTCTGGGAGGCAGGATAGCTGTCCTAAGCCTTTTGACCTCAGGGCCCCTACTGCTAACATAATAAGCATGTCTGGGATCTGCCACAATGATCTGTCAACCCTTACAGACTAGACCACATTAAGTCCTCAGTAATAACGGACAATCTCAACACCCACCATCTGGCCAGACACTAAATTGTGGGAGGGGTGCTTTATATGTCATTACTTCTAATCCTTACAACCACCCTGCGAGGTAAGTATCTAATCCCTGTTTAATAAATGCGGATGCTCAGGCTCAGAGAAGTTAATTAGCTTACCCAAGGGTGATGCAGCAATTGGAGGAGCCAGAACATTAAGTGAAGAGGCAGTGGACTCAAAGTCCTTGGGTGCTTTCCTCACACCATACTACTTTTCCTAAGATACACATATAACTACCCGCAATATAATGAAGAAAATGGGAAGCTCCTTAATTGTGGCACAGATAGAGCAAAGCAGGGGAGGTTGTTTCAAGCTAGGAGGAGGTGGTGGCAATGAAAGTGGTCATAGTTGCCTTAAATGGGGGAGCCCAGAACATACTGGGCCAAGCAGCAAAGTTCTAGGCATTCCAGGAATGGGAACCTCCACCCAAACCACTGTCTCAGCAAGCAGAACACCCAGCGTGGTCCCTCCTGGCCCAGGAACATGCACCCCCATCCAGTGTACAGGTGTGGGCATCTTCCTGGTGAACACCTAGCAAGGGTTCTCTAAGACCTTCCCACTCAGACAGCTGATCCTGATTCCGCTATCTGCTTCTCCATGTGTGTCTGCTCCAATCTTAGATCCCAGGTCCTAGCTCTGTACTGGCTTGAAACCACCCTGAGTTCCCTGTTTAGCACAGCTGCCCACACCCAAGCCTCAGAATTATTCTGGCTCCTACTGAAATCCAGGGTGTGGCTCAATACATACACACAGCATCATCCCTTCCACCCACTAACAGAGCCTCTGTGCCTCCCCTGGGCCCTTTTGTCTAGACAATCCTGTAACCTTCACCAACGCTGTGCCAACCATGCTCTGAAATTCTAGCACAGCCCTTCGGGGACTCCCGCTGGGCAGGGCAATGAAGGCCAGAACCCAAATGATTTGTTTTCTTCAGAAAATCCAGATGATTCCTAAGAGTCATCCCCACAAGGAAGCTGCACCACCGAGTTCCAGTATGTTGATAGCTTATTCATCTGAAGTTGCTTGCTATTCACAGACACGAAGCTACATCGCAGGATGGAAGCAAGGCTTACCTTCACCTTCTAGCTCTTGGAACACTGTGCCTCTTCTCTTATTCAAATGTCACACTTTGATATTATTCAAAAAATTATCCCAAACAAGTCATTGAGACTGTATGGAAATATTTTGGTACAGATGAAGTTCACAGCAGTGCTGATATAACAGAGGACAAATAAACTATAAATCAAAATACCTAGTAATAGGCGATGGATTACATAAGTCCATTATATATGTCTTAGTTCGTTTGAGCTGTTCTAGCAAAATACCATAATGTAGGTAGGTGACTTAGAAACAACAGAAATTCATCTCTTATGGTTCTGGAGACTGGGAAGTACAAGATCAAGGGAGATAAGTGTCCAATGAGGGCCTGCTTTCTGGTTCATAGATGGCACTTTC
This sequence comes from Homo sapiens, assembly GCF_000001405.40. NCBI lineage: Eukaryota > Metazoa > Chordata > Mammalia > Primates > Hominidae > Homo > Homo sapiens. Next base: position 34,282,140 of record NC_000011.10, read on the forward strand.
TCCCTGCATCCTCACACGGTGGAAGAGCCGAAGCAGCTCTCTGGGGCCTCTTCCCAAAGGTCTCACTTCCTAATATAATCCCATTGGTGATTAGGTATCAACATATGAATCTGGGGTGGGGAGGGGACACAAACATTAAGACCATTGTAATATAGAACATTTCATATAATGAAATACCTTGTAGGGCATTGAAAATGAACATGTAGAAGAGCTGTATTTATTGATTTGGAAAGATATTTATAATACATTGAGTGAAAAGCAGGTTTTAAAATAGTATTAAAAGTGAGATCACACTTTTGTAAAGAAAATATCTATATGCACATCAACATCTTGACACAAACTCCAAGCAGTGAGATAGATTGATGTAACGTACTTTTCTTTTTTCTTTTCTTTTCTTTTTTTTTGGAGACAGAGTCTCACTCTGTTGCCCAGGCTGGAGTGCAGTGGCGCAATCTTGGCTCACTGCACCCTCCACCTCCCAGGTTCAGGTAATTAGCCTGCCTCAGCCTTCCAAGTAGCTGGGATTACAGGCATGCACCACCACACCTGGCTAATTTTTTTTTCTTTTTTTTAGTAGAGACGGGGTTTCACCATGTTGGCCAGGCTGGTCTCAAACTCCTGAACTCAGGTGATTCGCCCACCTCGGCCTCCCAAAATGCTGGGACTACAAGCATGAGCCACCGTGCCTGGCCTTGTAATGTGCTTTTCATGATCCATATTTTTTAAGTTTGTCTATGTTGAATGCATTAGTTATAAAATTTTAAAAAGTCTTTTTCTTTTTTTTTTTGAGATGGAGTCTCGCTTTGTCGCCCAGGCTGGAGTGCAGTGGCACGATCTCGGCTCACTGCAAGCTCCGCATCCCGGGTTCACGCCATTCCCCAGCCTCAGCCTCCTAAGTAGCTGGTACTACAGGCGCCCGCCACCATGCCCAGCTAATTTTTTTTTTTTTTTTGTATTTTTAGTAGAGATGGGGTTTCACAGTGTTAGCCAGGACATTCTCGATCTCCTGACCTCGTGATCCGCCTGCCTCGGCCTCCCAAAGTGCTGGGATTACAGGCGTAAGCCACCGTGCCCGGCCATCTTTTTCTTTTTTTGAGATGGAATCTCGCTCTGTAACCCAGGCTGGAGTGCAGTGGCACGACCTCAGCTCACTACAACCTCCACCTCCTGGGTTCAAGTGATTCTCATGTCTCAGCCTCTGGAGTAGCTGGGATTACAGGCACGTGCCACCATGCTCAGCTAATTTTTGTACTTTTAGTAGAGATGGGGTTTCACCATGTTGGCCAGGCTGATCTCGAACTCCTGACCTCAAGTGATCCGCCTACCTTGGCCTCCTAGAATTCTGGGATTATAGGTGTGAGCCACCACACCCAGCCTGTAAAAAAGTCTTGATTAAAGAAGTAGCATATATCCATTTAGCAAGTATCAAAGTATATATTGAGAAAAAATACCATCTCATAAATCTAAGCTTCAAAGTTCCAAATTTAATCAAAGGCAAATTAGAGCATGGGTCAGGACAGAATATTATAACTAAATGCCAGCCAGCATAGAGGGTAGCATCACAAGGTGACCGTTGAGGATACTATTTTTTGTAGGTGGTCTTTCAACTGCAAAATATTTCCCCAAGAATAAGGAGACACAGCTGCCAGGAAACTTAGTCCCAGGGGCCACATTTGGTTCCTTACTCTCAGCAACCAGGCTTCCAACTGGCTTTCTTATCTCCTAATAAGATCCTTTCTAAAGCCAGAAGGAAGAGAGAATGCTTCACTAGCCAGTTTTATGGAAGTAAGTTGCTGAGTTCTCCAGCTTCTTGGTAAATCTAAAGGAGGGCTTCCCTACCTGGATTGATAATGCAGAGCATCTCAAACTGTGCCATGCACATGAATCCCTGGGATCTTGTCCAAACAGGGCTCTGATACAGGAGGTCTATGGTGGGGCTTTTGAGAGTCTGCATTTCTAACGAGCCCCCAGGTAATGCCGATGCTGCTGGTGCAGAGACCTCACTCTGGGCTGTAAGGCCCAATCCATGTCTCAGATAGAAGAACTGGGCTCAGCCCAGGGATGCTCAGCTGAACTGAGACAATGGGCCACGTCACATCATCCTGTAGGGCAGAGATGGCTCAGCTTTGGGAAACCTTTAGCTTCTCAGGCCACTGGTGATTAATGAGCAAATGACCCCCGTGTAACCCTAAAGGATTTGGATGATTTAATGTTCTTATCAAAATGGGCCATTTGCCAGAGTGACCAGAAGGATTGGCCCCAATGTCTGAGCTGCCTTACAGAACCTCTTTGTATAACCAGAATCACCCTTGGGTACCTGGAAAAGGCAGGCAGCACCAAAGCTTCTATTCAGAAACAGAACTTTAATCACACTAATAAATCGGCCTGCAAACAGGAATTATTGACTGGCTTCCATGAAAGCTGACGCTGGAAGAAAAGGTGTGAGAGTGGAAGACAGAGGTGAGGAGGTCATACTTAGGGTGAGTTGTTGACGGATGAACAAGAAGCAGGGGATGGGTAACTGTAACCAGAGAGGTGGAGAAAGCGGAGGGCTTAAACACACATAGGAACATTTATAAAATAAATAAATATTTGTAAATAAATTAAAATGATAAGAGATGGACCCAAGTCCAGCACTGCAGCCAGAAATCTGTCAGGAGGCCCTGAACACTGGCAGCAGGCTGTGTGCCTGCACACACCCCACCTGATACCGCCTGGAGCCAGAGGGGTGTTAATGAGGCTGGGTGGAGAGGCAGACCCCATTTTTCATCACTGACACTCAGACTGGCCGTCCTCAGCCCAGGACCCTGGCCAGTCAATCAGCTGCCAGCTCCGCTGTGTGTAAACACCTTCCATCCTCAGTCAGCAAAAGAGGCAGGTGCTGGAGATCTGGTCACGGTCAGTTGGACAATCTGATAAAGCCTTCCTGGGGTCGCTGTGGCCCAAGAACAGCCCTGGCATAATTAGACCAGGCGGAGGGGGGCTGTCAGGCAATCCAGGCGGAAATCACAGGGTCTCTGCCAATCAAAAGGAAACCCAACCGAGGGGACCGGTGGGGAGGGGGACATTTGCTGTACAAGTGGACAGTGGGGGAGGGGAGGTTTCCCCGAGGCTGGATGATGACTCTGGCAGGGCTACGCAGCTCATTATGCAAGCCCCAGAGTTAGGCGGGTGCTATCGATCACTATCGGGGGTCCCTGGGGATTCATCATTATATAGCAGGACCTAGTGCGTGCTTTGCTCTGGCGGTAACCAGAGGAACATGGCAATGCATCCTTGCCAACGGAAAACAGGGTGGCCCTTTTTTCCCCTCTTTTAATTATCTTGCAGGCCTTCTTAACCACAAAGGTGCAGAAATGGACAGTAATAACAAAAACACCTCAAAAGGTTTGTAGTTTACAAGGCCATTCTATACGTGCAATCTTAGGGAGGCCAGGCGAGGGTTCATCCTTAAGATAGCATGGCTGGGAACACAGGGGCCTGCTGCTCTACCCTGGAGCCGTCACACGTGCACAAAATGCTAGATTCACTCAGGGATTTCAGTATTTTTAAGAGCTGGGTAGCGCTCTCCAACCACTCTCCCAGCATGGGCCTCTATGACATCTCAATTGGCTGGGTGCTTCTGACTGCTTTTTGGGAAGAGATGCCCAGGTTACTGAGAGGCAAGCACTTCTTTTACTCCGTTGTTTCTTCTTTTACTAAGCTAAAAGTTCCCCTCCTGCATCTTGTGTCTGTAACTGGGATGGTCTAAACTTGATGGGCAGCCTCTGTCCTGGGCCTACTTGCACCTTGGGAAAGGAGTCTCTTGGTACATTGCCCAAATAAATTCAACTCAATGACCCAATACTATAGTTGGGGAAAACAAAAGAGATTTACATTGCACATTTATAGAAGAAAACATTATAATCGCCTGTAGTCTCAGCTACTTGGGAGGCAGAGGCAGGATGACTGCCTGAGCCCAGGAGTTTGAGGCCAGCCTGGGCAACATAGAAAGACCCTGTCTCAAAAAAAAAAAAATTAGTAAAGAAAAATTTTAGGCTGGATGTGGTGGCTCACACCTGTAATCCCAGCACTTTGGGAGGCAGAGGCAGGAGGATCGTTTGGAGCCAGGAGTTCAAGACGAGCCTGGGCATCACGGTGAGACCCTACTTTATTATTTTTATTATTATTTGAGACGGAGTCTTGCTCTGTTACCCAGGCTGGAGTTCAGTGGCACGATCTCGGCTCACTGCGACCTCTGCCTCCCCAGTTCAAGCGATTCTCCCGCCTCAGCCTCCTGAGTAGCTGGGATTACAGGCACCCGCCACCACACCCAGCTAATGTTTGTATTTTTAGTAGAGATGGGGTTTCACCATGTTGTCCAGGCTGGTCTTGAACTCCTGACCTCAAGTGATCCACCTGCCTTGGCCTCCCAAAGTGCTGGGATTACAGGCATGAGCCACCATGCCCGGCCTCAAAATATTTTAAAAAAGATCCCCCTTTCCATTCCTAGGTTCCTTCGCCAGCACCCTTCTTCCAGCATCCACCTCTAGATCTCCCATTCCTGTTTTTGGTTCTCACCATCCATCACCATTTTCATGCTGTTTCTGCTCTTCTCATCATTCCCAGCAAAACAAAAGCCTTTTAGCTAGGACTCTCAACATGTCTCCCCTTGGAGGCTTAGAAACATATTCACGGACATTATGCTGAGTAAAAGAAACCAGCCTCAAAAGCTTATATACTGCATGACTCCATTTATATGATATTCACACAAGACAGAACTACCACCATGGAGAACAGATTGGTGGTTGCCGGGGCTGGGGGAGGGAAGGGTGTGACTATCAGGCATAGCAGGAGGGAGCTCTGGAGGGATGGAACTGTTCTGCCTCCTCATCATGGTGGTGGTTGCACAAATGAATACATGTGTTAACTCATAGGACTTGGGCTGGGTGCTGTCATGGCTCATGCCTGTAATCCCAGCACTTCGGGAGGCTGAGGTGGGAAGACTGCTTGAGCCCAGGAGTTCAAGACCAGCCTGGGCAACATAGTAAGACCTTGTCTTTATTGAAAAAAAAAAAAAAAAGACTCATAGGACTGTACACACACCCTTAAAAGTCAAATTTACTGTATGATAATTTAAAAAATATACACAGCAAAAGAAGAGATCTCTTGGCTGGGTGTGGTGGCTCATGCCTGTAATCCTAGCACTTTGAGAGGCCAGGAGTTTGAGACCAGCCTGAGACCAGCCCGGCCAACATGGCAAAACCCTGTCTCTACTAAAAATACAAAAATTAATGATGTGCGCCTGTAGTCCCAGCTACTCAGGACTCTGAGGTGGAAGAATCGCTTGAATCTGGGAGGTGGAGGCTGTAGTGAGCTAAGAGCACACCAGCCTGGGTGACAGAGCAAGACTCTGCCAAATAAATAAATAAACAGATCTCCTCTTTATATGGCTGGGGCAATTCTGCAACTATGAATGAGCAGTTGGTTCCAGTCACCAAATAGACCTACTTCTTCAGAAATCTTCCAATTTTTGAAGACAGTTTTCTGCACAACATACAGAGGCTCTCCGCACAAGCTAGGGCTTCCCCAGGTATTACTTGACTTCGAGGGTCCCCTTCTATTTTACCTTGGAGAGGCCTTTCCTGAGCCCTCTCCGTAAGGCAGCTGAACCCTCTCCTCACTCTGTTTCCGTGGTATTTTTTTTCTTTTTTATAGAACATCTCACTATTGCTTGTCTGTCTCCACTCCCCCAGAAAAGTGAAAGGATGCATGTTCCACAGTCAGAGAGCCACCTTGTCCCACCATCGTATCCACATCACTTAGAACATGATGGCCAGAGATGATCAAGACCGAATGAATAAGCCACGAGGAAGAGAGAGCTTGAACACAATGGGGATAATAATGAGGCTGGGGGTGGTATGTTGAATCCCAAATCCATGAAAATTTTCTCTAGCCATTATCTAAATTTTATTTTTCCAGATATTTCAACTCATTTCCCCCAATATTTTATTATTAAAAATTTCAGACATATAGGAAAGTTGAAAGCATTTCTTTTCACATACTCCAGAAAAAAGCCAGTAAGTTGAAAGCTTTTTTACAGTGAACACCTTTATAACCACTATTTAGACTACAGCCTATCATTTACATTTTGCTATACTTGTCTTATCACCTACTTAGCTAGATCTGTTCTTCTATCCATCCTTTTATCCATCTTACTTTTTCTTCACGAATTTCTATTCAATCACCTAAAAACACCCCATTGCATAAACAAAGAAAACAAACAAAAGATAAGGTCACTCTTCAGAGTTATCCTAAGTGCAAGAACAATCAAAGATTTCCAATAGCTGGGTCCCCTAGAAGCCATGTGCCCCTTGCAAGTTTTCTGAGCACTTTAAATCAGGTCTGAAAAAAATTGTAACAGAACAGACAGAGCCCAGAACAGACAGAGTGTGATTCTTCCATTGCCTCATTAGTCTCTTGGTTGTTTTCGGCCCAGGAGGAGGGTAGGGGCGGGAGGGGGTAGTTAGGGAGCTCACAGGCCCACCGGGAGATGACAGTGAAGGATGACCCTCAGCCACGTTTCCAAGGTCACTCTCCTGCAGGCTAGGCCTCTGTGTTGTTGCAGAAATCACTCCTCTCCTGGGTGCACAAGGAAGGTATAGGGGCTGTGACAGAAGATACATGGAAACGCTCTGCTCTATGGCCCTGACACGAAGCATAGCCTTCCTCTGGACGTTCCTGCATCTGGTCATAACATCAGCAGTGACCTTCATAGTCCCTCTGGGTTTATTAATCACATACTCCCAATCCCTACCTCTGCCTTCAAATGGAGACCAACAACATGGCTGTTTTTACTGAGGTCATGTTTGTTAAATGAGAATCTGCTTTTCCAATTCTGGCGTCAGCACTGCCTGAAAAACTGCCTCTGCTCTTGAAGAAAGTGGGTCAATAACATAAATCTATGAACAGTTAAGTTCTGACAGGGGTGGCAAGAGCTAATCTAACAGAATTCTTATGCTTCTAGGTCCAGGAGGACTTGATTGTCAATTCTCAAACATCTGAGTTCTGTAACAACTTACTCAGCTTCCCTTAACATCAAAGTTCCTATTCTATCTTGGTCCATATTTAGAATCTGATGAAGGGTAATAGAGCAGGAAAAAACAAAGTACACATCAACACAGCATTTTGCAATTAATTTCAGGAGTTCGCCATGGCACATCTAGAAAGTCTCTAAGTCCCAACAGCCATGGTTAATGCTAATGTCGTGCTTACTATGCACTGGGCACTGTGCTAAGTGCTTGACCTACATTGTTTTATTTTATCTCATGAAAACTCAATTATCATTATCCCATTCTCAAAGGTAGAAAATGAGGCTTAGAGAGGCCAAGCAATTTGCCTCCTAAAGCTATACTACTTGTAAGCAGCAGAGTTGGAATTTACCCATGCCTGACTCCAGGACCGTAAGGAGGAAACTAATGGCATTTCTCATGAGCCCACAAACCCACTCTGCTCAGGCCATAACTTGAAGCTACCCTGACCCCAAGTCTTCCTTCCCATCCAAATGGCTTCTTCTGGAGTTCAGAGGCAATGCATGAGACACCCTCCGAGGCAGGCTGGACAGAGTGGGTCTTGCCCTCAGCACAAGACCCTCAGACCAGAACAAAGGAGGCCTGGGGACAGGTAACCAAATCCTGAGAGATGATAAAAACACACCCTCTAGGCAACCAGTATCCCAGAAACAACCAGCTCCTGGGACTAATCAGATGTGTGTTGGTTGACCCACACAGCCTTTTTAAGGTTTATATTTGAGTAACTTTTAGGCAAGGCCTGTAACTAACTATAGTCCTCACTCTCCCCAGTTGTCTTCTACAATTTCCAATTATTTCACCTCCAACAGCTTCTTTAAAACAAATTAACATAGATAAATGACCTAGTCCCTGAAGACATTTGAAAGGGATTCCTAAATTGCAGCAAATCAGTTCTATTGGCCTTAGGATGGATTTTGGATGTGGAAAAAAATCATGAGATGAAACCGAAATAATCAAATGGTGAAGTACAGAAGAAACAGAACTACAGCAAGTGTCTTTCTAGATTACATTTGTATCAAAGTAGCTATCTTCCCTTGCACGATCCCATGAATAATTTGCATTTTCAAGACTGTACCTGGACTTAAGGTTTACATTGTGGCCACGGAGCAGAGAAGGCCAAAAGTTTCTTTTGCCAAGATTGTATCTAATTCCTCCCTGACCTCAGCAGTCCATGCCAATCCCAGTAACCCCAGGAAAATACTTGGTAAACTTTAAATGTGTGGTTCTTCTCTGTAATAGGTGATAGTAATCGAAGATAGCAGATTGTTTAAGAAGCTCATTAACCACATATGGCAGATATGAAAATCATCTAGACATCAAGGGCAGGATGCCTTCAAGAAAAACCAGAGTGCCAAGTGCTGTGGCTCACACCTGTAAATCCCAGCACTTCAGGAAGCTGAGGTGGGAGGATTGCCTGAGGCCAGGAGTTCAAGACCAGCCTGGGCAATATAGCAAGATCCTCGTCTCTATAAAAAATGAAAAAAGAAAAACAAAGAAAGAAAGAAAGAAAAACCAGAGGCAGAAACACCATGGAACAAAAGAAGAGTGTGTGCTGCAGAGGAGAGAATCATTTTGTCTTGAACACGGATGGATAAGTGTCTCCAGGAATTCCACAGACAGGCCTAATAGCTAAAATTACCAGCTTAAACTATTTCTCATGTTCATTCTCTGAAGTGCTATAAATGGAAACAGTTATAAATTTTTTTCCCAATAAAGTGTTCACATTCTTCTTTCTGAGACACAAGAGACTAACATTCATTTAAGACCAACTGACGAAAAACAGCATTTTACAGCCACTGTGCAAATCTGAAAGCCTTCATCTGCCAGTGGAAACAGAGCAAGTGGCTCCCAGCCTTCCCAGGCTCCCTGCACATATGGGGGAATGGGGTTTGTCATTATGTGTGAATATCAATGAGCTTCAGATCTAAGTCAATGCCACAGCAATCCCCAAGGAAACTGGCTAAGTATTCATAACAGCCTGATAACTTTGGGAATTAAGAGGACAATAGTCTCTTTTTCTAATTGGATCAGAATCAGCTTTGATGTCTTCATCCCAAGTGGACCAGTTTTTGCTTCCCAGCCAGCCTCTCCCACTGGGATGAAGGGGTCTGTAAGCACATTCCCAATGTGGAGGAGGGAAAGCTGAAGACCCCTCCATCAGCAGAACACATGGGCTGTAAAACTGGCAATTCTAGTTTCCAAGATCACAGAGTAGAACAGAGATGGCACAGTGTTCTTCGGCGTGGGGCACAGGACTGAAAACTATCCTTCTAACTGATAAGTTTATTTTTATTTTTATTTTTTAGATGGAGTTTTGCTCTTGTTGCCCAGGCTGGAGTGCAATGGTGCAGTCTTGGCTCACTGCAACTTCTGCCTCCCGGGTTCAAGCAATTCTCCTGCCTCAGCCTCCCGAGTAACTTGGATTACAGGCGTCTGCCACCATGCCCTGCTAATTTTTGTAGTTTTAGTAGAGTCGGGGTTTCACCATGTTGGCCAGGCTGGTCTCAAACTCCTGACCTCAAGTGATCCACCCACCTCAGCCTCCCAAAGTGTTGGGATTACAGGCGTGAGCCACCACGCCCGGCCTGATATGTTTATTTTTTTAATTTTTAAAAAATTATTTAACATATATGGGCTGCTTTTGGTTGGGCAAAGTGGTCTGTAAAGAAACATCCTTGCTTGTAGCTAATAAGAGGTTTTTTTTTTTGGCTTTTAGAGTGACTTACACCAATAATACAAAGGTATCATTTAAACGAAGGCACTAGGAACCTGAATGCAACTGATTTACACATTTAAAACATAAGCCATATATACTAATTTGCCAAGTTGCGACCCTAGCCCATATATTTTTGAAATCTACCAAATTAGGGAAGGGAGGAGCAAATCTAAATAGACCTTAAGTCAAGCATATAGTGTATTTCATTCTGCTTGAGACACTGGCCTAAGTCCCCTGGATCCAAGGCTAAATTCCTTCTGTTCATCCTATACCCTGCTCCCTCCCCAGTAATGAGGGAAGGAAAAGCCGCAGTGTTCTCTGAGAGGACTGGGAGTGATTTAGCAAAGACTCACTTGGAAACTTCTAAAACAGCTGCAGAAGCTACATGCCTTATGGCACAAAGATGATCTTTCCTACTTTGCAAAGTGTTAAGATGTTGGCCTTGGCCTGAAAACAGCTAGTTTTCCTCGGGTTCTTTTAGTCATGGTCTGTGAAGATGGCAGCCTTCACAGACCATGTGAAGGCTGGCCAGGACCACTGGTCTCTACTGTGGTCCGAATCCAGTCAGTCATCTTACCTTTGCCTACTGGTTTGTCCATGTAACAAATACTTATGAAATACTTCTTATGTGGCAAGGTACTTAGTTGATATGAAACAGACCAAAGTCCTGCCTTAAGGACCTTATATTCTAGTGGGTGGAAGATGGACAATAAGAAAATACAGGTATGGCAGATAGCAGTTGTTGATAGGAAGAAAAGTCAAGCCAGGAAAGCGAACGGAGAGGGACAGGGGAGTGGAGCTCCCTCATAGGGAGGTCAGGGAGGGCTGCCTGGAGGAGGTGGCAATGAAGCAGAGACTTGCACTAAGTCAGGGAGCCTGTGATGGGGCCACTGGGTGAAGGTAACAGCAGGTACAAACCCCCAGAGGGTGGTAATAAAGGAGTCACTGAGGAAGGTAGGGGCCAAATCACAAATGACTTGGTCCACTGTGGAAGGGCCTTGGATTTTATTCTAAGTTTAACAAACCAGTGGCATGGTAAGAGTTGAACTTTTAAAACCTGGCTCTGGTTTTGAGGAGCAAGAGTGGGGTCAAGGAGACAGGTTAGGAGGTCATGGATGCAGTGGAAGAGTGAGGGCTGTGCCTCAGACTAGAGCAACAGCAGTGGAAACAGTGTTTTTTGAGGGCAGAGTTGACAGGCTGGCTCACAGACTGGGTATGGTGTGTGAGAAAGAAGAATCGAGGATAGCTGCTAGGTTTTCAGCAGAGTAACTATAAATCATGCCATTTACTGATGTCGAGGGGGGGCCCAGGGAGAGAAGCAGGGGAGGTGAGACTAGGACTGCAGTTCTGGGCAGGGGACACCTGATGGGACACGAGGAGGCTGGAGGAGAGTTGGGGCTGAGGGCAGCGTCCTGGCTGAGGGCAGCGTCCTGGCTGGTAGTACTTGCGAAGTGACTCTCAGAGCCAGATGGGGTCACCTAGGGAACTGGAGCAGATGAAGAAGAGGCCCCAGGGTGGAGAGGCCCAAGGGTGGGCCTAGAGAGCTCTCTCAACCCTCAGGAGAAGGAATAATTCTCAAAAGGGGCTGAGAAGGAGAAGCCATTGAGGAAAGATGAGAATCAAGGGTGTCATGCCCCAGGCGCCAAGTGCAGGAACTGTTCCGGGAAGGAATAAGTGCCCAGCTGTGTCAAATGCTGCTGAGATACCCTTCCAAGGTGCAGAAAAAAATTTGCACATGTGGACCCACACGCACCTGTGAGAGAGACTGGGGTAAGGGTAAGGGTAAGGAAAACAAGGTAAATTTTTTTTTTTTCCTCAAGATGGAGTCTTCCTCTGTCGCCCAGGCTGGAGTGCAATGGCACAATCTCAGCTCACTGCAACCTCTGCCTCCTGGGTTCAAGCGATTCTCCTGCCTCAGCCTCCCAAGTAGCTGGGACTACAGGTGCATGCCACCATGCCTGGCTAATTTTTTGTATTTTTAATAGAGACAGGGTTTCACTATGTTGGCCAGGCTGGTCGGTAAAATGTTAACACTTGGGAATCTGGGTAAATGAAGTATGAAAATTCTTTGTTCTAGTCTTGCAACATTCTATACATCTGAAAATTATGTCAAAATAAATGTTAAAAGAACAAAATGGTAGGGTACAGTGGCTCAAGGCTTTAAGTGAGGCAAAGGCAGGCAGATCCCTTGAGCCCAGGAGTTAGAGATCAGCCTGGGTAATATGGCAAAACCTCATCTCTACAAAAAATTTAAAAAGTTAGCCAGGAGTGGTGGAGGGCCATAGTCCCACCCACTCAGGAGGCTGAGGTGGGATGGTGGCTTGAGCCTGGGGTCATTGAGGCTGCAGTGAACAGTGATTGTGCCACTGCACTCCAGCTTGGGCAACAGAGCGAGACGCTGTCAAAAAGAAAAGAGAGAGATCAAGAAAGAAGTGACAATGGGCCTTTGAGTCTGACAATACACAACTTGTTGATACCATATGAAGAGTGATTTCAAAGGAGCAGTGGAGATGAGACCTTGATTGTTGCTGATGGGAGAGAATCAGTGGGAAAATGATGGTGCTGACTACGGCCAATGCTTCCCAGGAGTATCGCTATGAGTTAGAAGACGGAAATTGAAAGACAATGTGCATGAGGCCAGGTGAAAAGACTTTTGAAGATGGTTCTTGCCAGGTGTGGTGGTTCATGCCTGTAACCTCAGCACTTTGGGAGGCTAAAGCAGGACGATCCCTTGAGGCCAGTTTGAGACCAGCCTGGGCAACATAGTGAGCCCTCGTGTCTCTACAAAAACAATTTTTTTTTTTTTTTGAGACCGAGTCTCATTCTATCACCCAGGCTGGAATGCAGTGGTGCGATCTCAGCTCATGTAACCTCCACCTCCCGGGTTCAAGTGATTCTCCTGCCTCAGCCTCCTGAGCAGCTGGGATTACAGGTGCCCAAACCATGCCCGGCTATTTTTTTTTAATTTTTAGTAGAGACAGGGTTTCACCATGTTGGCCAGGCTGGTCTCAAACTCCTGACCTCGTGATCCACCCACCTCACCCTCCCAAAGTGTTGGGATTACAGGCATGAGCCACCACGCCGGGCCTCTACAAAAACAATTTAAACATTAGCCAGGCATGGAGGTGCAAGCCTGTAGTCCCAGCTACTTGGGAGGCTGAGATGGGAGAATCACTTGAGCCCAGGAGTTTGAGGCTGTAGTGAATTATGATTGCATCACTGCACTTTCGTCTGGGCAACAGAGCAAGATCCTATCCTTAAAAATTAAAAATAAAAATATTGTTATATAAGATAGCATATTTGTTGCTGATGAGAATGATCCAGCAGAGAGGGGAGAAGTACAGGAGCAATGATCTTACACAGGCTAGAGGTCGTGGGACCCTAACGTACAAGTTGGGGGTTGGCCACAGGCAGGAGGAGGAACGAGTCCCTGCTGGAGGGCTGACAGGGTATATGGAGACAGATGCAGGAAGAGTGCTCTGTTTGGGAAAGGTAATATAAGGAAATTCTTCTGATTGCTTCTGTAATATATTTTCAGTGATATGTAAAACAAAGTCAGTAGTTGAATGTGAAGGGATGGCAGGCTTTTAAGGTTTCAGAGAGGAGAGGTGTGGGAAAATAGAGTGAGCTGGCTAGGGAATGAATGGGATGGTCAGGCTAAGCAGAAAGCTCTCTTATGTGACTGTGACCATGACCATGCCTTAGTCAGCCCAGGCTGCTATAACCAGTGTCCCAGACTGGAGAGTTTATAAACAACAGAAGTTTATTTCTCACCACTCTGGAGGCTGAAAGTCTGAGATCAGGGTGCCAGCATGGCTGGGTTCTGGTGAGGGCCCTCTTCTGGGTTGCAGACTGCCAACATCTCACTGTGTCCTCACATGGCAGAAAGAGAGCTAAAGAGCTACCTGGGGTCCCTTTTATAAGGGCACTAATCCCATTCATAAGAGCTCCACCCTCATGACCTAATCACTTCCAAAGGTCCTATCTCCAAACACCATCACATTGGGGGTGATATAAGCATTCAGTCCATAACAGGCTAAAAACTGAAAGTGAATTCATAGTTGGGCATGGTGATGTGCACCTGTAGTCCCAGCTACTTAGGAGGCTAAGGCGGGAGTATTGCTGGAACCCAGAAGATCAAGGCAGCAGGAAGCTATGATCATGCCACTGTACTCCAGCCTGGGTGACAGAGCAATACCTTGTCTCTAAAGAAGTAAATAAAAATAAAGTGAATCCAATCAGCATGGTGTGTGCGTATTCTTCAACCACATTGAGCTCCCTTGATGCCAGCAGGGAGAGGGCAGAGTTGGGTTTAACCAGGGTTAGGATTTTCCAGAAAGGGTGAAAGAGGATGAAAGGCAAGGCAGTGTGATGGGGCATAAAATCTAAGGAGGGGAGGGAGACAAGGAGGAGGGTGGGAGAGTTCATGGACAGTGGAAGATCCTACTAGAGTGTTAGGACCAAGAAAATTAAGCTGGAAAGATGGGAATGGTAGTCAGAGAAAAGGAAGTTTAATAAGATAATTTCAGAGATGATGCAGTTACTGGTCATAAGGCCCAAGGTATAACCCTGAGGGCAGGTAGCTGAAGTCAGATAAAGGACAGGACCATTGGAAGTGAGTAGGTCAAGGAATCACAAGGCCAGTGTGCCCTGTGGATGTTGACATTGCCAAGAATGAGGTGGGAGTTGTGCAAAGCAAGGCAGTGAGGCAGAGGCCAGCATCTTCCAGGAAGGGGCAGAGACAGGAATCTCAGAACTGCACACCACTGAAATAAGGAGAGACAGCAGGTGGCATAATCTGAAATGCTGTACGCTTCAAAAAAACTATTTCTTTTAAAGGAGTAAACAGAGAAATGGTCTGGAAATGGCAATAAGGAGGATCCTGACTCATATCTAGACATTGCAGAAATAAATCGCCACAGTTGGAGAAGGCTGTAGGGACAGTGATGTCCTCCAGGCTTCAGTTATGGCAGGATGAAGAAGAAAATGTTTTGGTTTAAAAAGGCCCAACTTCTGCACAGCTCTGACCTGTGACTTGCTCAAAGACCTAGAGAAATTTACCACCTATCCTATTCATGAGTTTTAAGATGACTTTCAACAAGTGAGGCTTTTATTTATACATACAGTGTAGCCAGAAAAGGACTTACCATGCAAAGAAAACACATTTTAAAAGTATTTCACAAGGAAATCTAGATTTAGTCTTGGCACTTTCTGTACGTATTCATTTTATATCCCCACTTCCTAGCCTGGTACCCGGCACACAGTAGGTGTTCCACGGATTTATGAATGATTTGCTTTTCCTTAAAGGTCCCCTGCTTCTCTTTAGTCTTTGTACCTAGAGCTTGCTCTCTCTCTCTCCAGTCTTCTCAACTACATATTTTTTAAGAGGTTAACTTAAAGAATGCCAGCCAAATTCTGGTGAACTGTTTCTAAGGTGCTTTCGCATAGAATATCCGGAAACAAAAACATACCCCTACTGGAGAATTTCCAAGCTGGATATAACCAGACAATCTACCCAATTTTTATCATCTTGCTCAGACTCAGTGCTATGGTTTTAATGTATCCCCTCCAAAATTCAGGTGTTGGCTGGGCGTGGTGACTCACACCTGTAATCCCAGCACTTTGGGAGGCTGAGGTGGGTGGATCACCTGAGGTTAGGAGTTTGACCCTGTCTCTACTAAAAATACAAAATTAGCTGGGCGTAGTGGCGCATGCCTGTAATCCCAGCTACTCAGGAGGCTGAGGCAGAAGAATTGCTTGAACCTGGGAGGTGGAGGTTGCAGTGAGCTGAGATCACGCCATTGCACTCCAGCCTGGGCAACAAGAGTGAAACTCCATCTCAAAAAAAAAAAAAAAAAATAAAAATAAAGGAAAGAAAAAGAAAAAAACAAAATTCAGGTGTTGCCGACGTGATGGTATTAAAAGGTGGGGCCTTTTAAGAGGTGATTACGCCATGAAAGCTCCTCTCTTGTGAAGGGGATTAAGGCCCTTATAAAAGAGGCTTCCCAGGGACATTGGGCTATCCTGACTTTCTGCCTTCTACCATATACAAACACTGTAATTCCCTTCTGGAGGGTGCAGACCTCACTTGACAACTGAACAAGCTGGCACCTTGATCCTGGACTTCCTAGCCTCCTGAAATGTGAGAAATAAATGTCTGTTTTTTTTTTTTTTTAAATAAATTACCCAGTCTCAGGTGTTTTGTTATAACAGCATAAACAGACTAAGACACTCAGAGAAACCAAACTGACTTGCCCAAGATCTCACTTGGTGAGTATGAAATGGAACCAGACCCAGGACTCTTGGCTATCAACTACTCCAATACACACCACAGAATACATATCCACATTTCATTGCCAATTACCAACCAGACTCAATCATTCATGGCATAGCCTTAGCATAAAACTAAGGCCTTAATTTCTAATTTCAAAATGCAAAAAAGTTATAGAAAGAAACCTGGGGTAGGGGTGAGGAATGATCTTGTTTCTTTTTTTTTTTTTAAACCAATTACTTTTTTTCTTTTAAATTTAAAAAAATTAAAAAAAAAATTATTTTGGGACAGAGTCTCGCTCTGTTGCCCAGGCTGGTGTGCAGTGGCATGATCTCGGCTCACTACAAGCTCCACCTCTTGGGTTCAAACGATTCTTGTGCCTCAGCCTTCCCAGTAGCTGGAACTACAGGCGCAGAACACCATGCCCGGCTAATTTTTGTATTTTGGTAGAGATGGGGTTTTGCCATGTTGGCCAGGCTGGTCTCAAACTCCCGGCCTCGAGTGATCTGCCTGCCTCGGCCTCCCAAAGTGCTAGGATTATAGGTGTGAGCAACAGCACCCAGCCTAAACCCATTACTTTTAAAAGTCATTTTATTTGTGATCTTCTCATAAAAAACTGGTGGGCTTGGGGACACAAAAGCAAAAGAGTTCAGTGTTTCCTATGAACAACTGGGCCTGCATAGATGTTTAAATTAATAAAGATCCCTTATCTAATTTCATTCTTGGTACTTCCTCACCCTCTTTCAAATTCCAGCCCTTGAACAGTTTGAATGATTGAAGACACAGCTTAAGGTTGCATAGGAGCTTTTCAGGGACGTCTGCATTAATCCTCTGCTCCATGCAATGTAGAAAACATTAAGTAAAATTGTCTGAAGTTAAAATATGTACTTAATTCCCACTACAGGGAACGGATCTTTTTAGCAGATGTTTTTCTGGAATGGCTGGTGATTGTAAAATAGGAAGAACTAAAAGAATCAAAGTCAAAGTAGGTAAAAAGGATAGACTGGGCAGGGGTTTGGACTGGGGGGCAGGAATGGCATATCAATTAAATTTCCAGACTGTTGCTTATGAAAAATAAGCTGTCTTCGGATCATTTCTAGGACACGGCTATACACGATGGTCATGGACCAAAGAAAATGAAATCCAAATTGATGGTTTTTTTTAAAAAAATAATCATTTAAGCAAGACGTTCCTCTGATGTTTAAGCCAAGATCTCCAAGGGTATCAGGTTCCCTTATTTGGAGGAGCTGCGTGTTTGGAAAGCCACGGTAGTATACTCCTCCCAGAAAACAATGAAGGCAGTTGTTTGCAAAGCCCAAGGAGGCTGCAGGCTGCTGGAGGTGGCAGCTCGGCCCATCCTGCTCCATTAGGAGCCTGCCAGCCCACCACTCCTGATGGGACATTTTAAACCAGCACATGAACCCTCACTGAAACCTTCAGGAGGACGGATTTTTTCATTTGCTAACTGGCTTTTCTTTTCCCAGGCTCAACTGACAGCAACTACTCTCGGGGCCCTCATAGCCAAGGCATTTGGAGTTTGCTCATCTGGGGCTCCCAATCTGCACTCCTCTTACATTAGAAATAAGAGGGCTACAAAGCCAGAAGCAGCGGGTGAGCCGGAAAGGAGCAGAGTGTTGCCTGGGCTGGCAGCCTTGCTCCACCACTTAGCAGCTCTCAGAATGGGTCAGCTACTTCACCTCTTTGTGCTCCAGTTTCATCTCCGTAAAATGGGAATAACACTGCTGCCTCCTTCATAAAGGCACACAGAGGACTGAATGAGTCAAGAATAAAGTAGTTAGCACAGTGCCTGGCACAGAGTCAGAGCTCTCTGCCTCCTACGCTTGGTGGGGGGAAGATGAGGGGTGGGAATACCTTCAAGGTGAGGAAGGGTTCTCTTTTATGGCTCTTAAGAATATATTGTTTTCTTTAGAGGAGCTATTTTACAGCCCGCTGAATCTAACTGCCATGCTAGCTCAGCATGAATACCCTCCATTAAGAATCTTGTCACACCCTTGCTTCACAAGTTGTGGAAACCCAAATCAGACTGCATTCAGCGTTGGGTAGTGGGAGACGTACTGAAGGCCTTTCAATTTCCAAAGCCATGATCAGAATGAAATGTTCTTGCATCAGGCGTTTCACATTTTAGAATTCAATTACAAAACCCTACCATTTAGCTTGTTAGGCTGGCTGCTCCACCCCAGAAAGAGTGACAAAAGACAATCTATAGAGCCAGGCTGCAAGTTCCAGTGCTATAAATCACTGGTTATCGGATGGAGTGGAACTCATTAATATAAACGAGAAGCCTGAAAGGCACCCATTAGCATGTTATTAATTTGTTTGACGATCTACAGCATGGCAAGAGCTAAAATAGTTAGGCTGGGCAATACTACATCTCACACAGAAGAATAATCTGGTCCCATTAATTTTTGTCTTAGGCTTGCCAAATGTAATTGGGCATAATCAGAGCTCATACATCTCATAGCGTTTTCATCTTCTGTTCTTTTAAAAAAAGAAAACTGGGGGGTGGGGGAGGTGCTCGAAGTCTTGGTACGCAATAAAGATAACCAATGAGAAGGGGTTTTAGGTTGGAGCAACCCACTAAGGACTGTAAATGCTTCCCCTTTTGTTTTCCTTCCTTTGCTCTGCATTTTGGATTTGTTTTTCATGAAATGAAAGTGAATCATAAACTACTTTCCAGTTGGGTTAACCTTACTTATACATCCATCCACCCAATTTACTGGGGGGCTGGTGTGGAGGGCAGAGGAGGATCCATCTAGTTCCCGTGGGTAGATATAATTGTCTTTAATCTTTGCCATTAATGAGGAGGCTGGGGGAAGCAGAGGATAAGAAGCTTTATCAACATCTTTGTGGTCTCATGTCTCTCTGTCCGATTGCCAGATATTTCTGTGGCTGGTTAGCCTTCCAGCCCCAAAGCTGTTAGAGAAAATGGAATTTCAGCCTTGAAGGCCTCTGACAGCATCTTGGTCCACCTGGGTCACTTGCAGTTAGGAAGGAAGTCAGAGAAGGGAGCTGCCCACATGCTTCTAAACAGTGCTTCCTTCTTTCCCGTAGTTAGTGTTTTTCAAAGAACATCATCTTGCCATTAAATGAATTTAAAAAAAAATTGTGTTTTCAGGTCCTGGGATAGCAGATAAGGCCCTGTGTACTTGAACTAGATATTTCGAATGATCACTTGACTATAAACAAGATTTTAAAAAAATCTAAATCGATGAATATGTAATTTTCCTGCCAAACAAAAAGCTAGCATAAACAATGAGCTTACATAAATTGGGGCAATCAGATCCACCAACAAAGCATGAAGGCCTAGCCTCAACACTGAAAGAAGAGAATAGATAAATGCTGTTGAATTTTGTTCTCTGAATAACACATTTTAGCATTTCCCTCTGCCTGTGACCCAGAGATGGATCCACCTTTGAGTATTCAAAACTTCAGTTTCCTCTTGCTACGGGAGGCTTAACATAATAAAACATTTAAACATAATATAGGCCAGACGCAGCAGCTCATGCCTGTAATCCCAACACCTTAGGATGCCAAGGCGGGAGGATGGCTTGAGCCCAAGAGTTTGAGACCAGCCTGGGCAATTATTGGATGAAACTACATCTCTACAGAAAATACAAAAATTAGCTGGGTGTGGTGGTGTATGCCTGTGGTCCTAGCTACTTTCCAGCCTAAAGCAAAAGGATCGCTTGTGCCCAGAGGTTTAGGCTGCAGTGAGGCCAAGATGGTGCCACTGCACTCTAGCCTGGGCAACAGAGTGAGACCCTGTGTCAAAAAAAATAAACATCACAAACATAATACATGTCAGGGTATGACATTTGGCAAATATTAGAAAATACATAGAAGATAAAAATCACGTGTGTGTACACCCCCAAGATAATCACTAGGTAACACTTTGGTGTATTTCTACACCTCACGTATGTGTATGCTTTTACAGAACTGGACCACAGTACAGCTACAGTTTCTTGTCTCCACCCTCTTCCCCACCACAACTGGATATTTCATGAGTATTTTCCTATGCTATTACATTTCCT
Source organism: Homo sapiens (assembly GCF_000001405.40). NCBI lineage: Eukaryota > Metazoa > Chordata > Mammalia > Primates > Hominidae > Homo > Homo sapiens. The sequence continues at coordinate 34,302,249 of NC_000011.10, forward strand.
TCAAAGATGTAATGTTTAATGAGGGCTGCATACATTTCACCATATCCAAGTGCTATGATTTATTTAACCATTCTCAGATGATATGTAGACAGGATTTTAATCTTTCCCTAGCATTGCTACTAAAATTAAACTCTTACCTCTTCCTATCTGAAATCCATGACTGGTCAGATTCAAAT